>NC_000001.11:62584138-62887168 GCF_000001405.40 Homo sapiens
GATTAATTGGCATCATCCTTAATTAGAAGGGCATATTAGCAGGTATTTCTGTTTCTTTTTGCAACATTTCAAGCAGGCTCTTTTATTTTAAGGGTATGTACAAGTGTAATAATTATGACTTTCCTAAGATATATATTATTTCATCAATTTACAAATACCTTAGTATGTTTTCATAAATTGTTCCTGTGCCAGAATTATGAAGTTTACAATTTTATCATGTCAATATTACATTATCAAAAAGTTATCTTAGGACCCATTTAAACAGCCCTTTTTTTAAAAAAGGCAAACACAGTATGTCTATGTTTATATACTCTTTCAAATCAGCCATTTCATACATAAAAACATTGTATTTTCATATGACTAATAACACACAAGTAAAAGAAATGCAATACCTTTTTTCCCTCTGAGAAGCTATCACTTTTCACAAAATAACTTGTTTATTTTCATAATATGACATAAAGCAGACAGTGTTCCTTTTTTGACCATTTGACATGTACTTTTAATCATTTAGCAATATGGATTGAGCATTAATTATTTATCCAAAAATGTGACAGGAGTCAAGATATAGACATGAGTAAGACATCGTCCCTGCCCTCAAGGAGCTCACAATCTAATGGGTGAAATTAAGAAATATAGAATCATCAAGTGATAAAGTCCCATGAAAGAAGTGAGAAGATGCTATGGTAGCACCAAAGAGGGAGAGGTCTAACTGTCGGTATAGGATGGGTGCAGCTGGGGCTCTGTAGAGGAGGCCACATATATGATAAGACAAGGAAGAGTTTGTTAGGTAAACAATAAAAAATAGATTATTCTACATATATTACATTTGTCGTATGCTCAAATTCATATGGCAACTCACACATAGGCTGACCAAGTATCTATTTTCACAATCTAGTATCTTTTCATCAACTATCATAGTACATTCATTCCTTCAGCAGAAATGAACTAGTATAAAACATGAAATGTGAATTCCAAATCTCAAAAATAAATTCTACAATTATTCAACAAATATTTATTCAGTATGTATTATATGCAATAATCTGAAAAAAATGCCATACGAGAATACAAAGATGAATAATTTGTGCTCACTGTTGTCAAGGATATCTACAAATGTTGATGTAACTGAGGCAATAGGGTAGATGAAAATGTATCTTTCCCAGTATGTGGAAAATCAGAAGAACTTCATTAAAAGATGGACATGGAAGGATAAAATAAGACTATTAACAATGCACCTATTCTTAGGTCATTTTCATCCCACTAGGGTTCTCAGAGGTTGAGAATCTATAGCAATAGCATATTTCTATTCCATATGTTACTGACTTCAGCTGAGCCAAAAATTCACTCTCATGAAACTTGCATTTATTAGTGTCCCACAAATCCTGAATGACAATTTGGACAGTCAAGAATCTCTAGTCTGGTCTCAATCTACTATTTCTGATTTTTCTTCCAGTGCTCTGGTTCCCTGGCAACTCACCACTGTCATTACTGTTCACAGGCATTCCCCAACTTGAAATGCTTTCCTTTCCCTGCTCTCCAAACACACTGCTATTAACATTTTAATGACCTTTGGTTTCAGCACAAAAGTACCTTTTCCATGAGATGCCTGTTACCTCAGTAAGGCATTATCTCCCACCTCTGAATACCTACCTATTCCTTTGAATCCCTATACCAATCTTCTAATAATTAGCACATAGCTTGATTCTCAACATTGTCTGCAAAATGTAATCCCTGGTGAGACTTAAAAATACTGAAACCTGGTCCAATCCCCATACATTATGATTTAAGTGAGATTCAGCCTGAGCACTGGTAGTTTGAAAAGCTTCCCAGGTGAATCTAATGTGCAGCCAAGATTGAGAACTAATGCCAGAGTTTGTCAACCAAGGTAGGAAAAGCCATACATATTAAAATCACCCACGGAGCATTTTCAAACTATAACACAGCCTCATATACCACACATCACTTCCCACCTCCTTAGCTGGCCTTACATTCTAAAGGGAGTTGAGGAGAATAAGAATCACAGACGCCAAAAGTACAGAAAAGATATCTCTACTTTGATAGAGTTCTCTAGGTGATCTAACCCTCTTTTGAAAATCACTATTTTAGATTTATATGTATTCATTTTATATCCTCTGGATTACAAGTCTTATTCATCTTTGTATTTCTAGGAGTGCCTAACATATACCAAGTCTTCAAAAATAAGTTAGTCTTCAAGTAATGTCATTACTATCTATACAGAAAGTAATGCAGTTAGAAATTTGGTTTAAAAGATCACATTAATTTCCAGGTTGCAGTTGCCAACCAAAGAGAAAGAAAAAAGTCTATTTGAACTTAATACAAAAAATTAGAAAAGTAAAAGAACATTTCTTACCGGCATGGCATTGCTTGGATCCTCTCCATACATAAACTGGACTTTCACTGTTATATTTCTAGCAGAACCTTGACGATTGGCAAAATTAAGACTCTGAGGGTATATGTAGAGAAGATTTCTGTGAAAGCAACAGTATAGATGATAGTAAATACATATCTAAGAAACACTATGTATCACTCACAAAATACCACAAAATAAGTGACCAAATACTGAATTACTGATATTGGCTAGCAATTATGCTAAGTATTTTCACATGTGACGTTTTATTTACTCCTGAGAGCAATCATTCAAATACACAGCAATAAAACATGTCCCAATTTTGCAGATAAATTGAGATTCAGAAAAGTTAACTGATTTTTGCATATAACCAAGTGAGTGACAAAGCTGAAATCAGAGTAAAGGTCAGTCAGACTTCAAAACTCATTATCTTCACTCTACAAGAGGCTTCTGGAATAAATGAATATGGACTGACACATTATTAAGTTAAAAAAATAGTTCTAATATTATCTTAGTTCCTCCAAGCACATATAAATAGGATGACATTTATAAATGTGGCTTTTGTATAAATGTGATTAAGAATTTAAGAGGTATAATATTCCACATTATTTTTCAAAAACACATTACAATATGATGGATATAATAGAGTTAGGTAGTTACTACAAAACAATAACATCCTAATTTGCATTTATTTGAATTCTTGTCCAGCTCATCATCTCTATCATAGACAAACTTTAATAGTCCTTGCTGCCAACACACAGAAGAGAAATAATTCAAGAAAAGACACCAAATAGCTAAAAAAAAAAAAAAAAAAAAAAAAGAATCAAGAGTTACTTTACCTGAAGACTAGCGTTTAGAGCCAATGAACAAGACGTTTAGTATAATAGAACCTTGCTAATCAACTGCTGGGGCAATGAAAACAGGTCTAAATTTTCTGAAGAGTGGTAGGGCAATATAGAAATTTTAAATGAACATAACACTTTGACCCAACAAACACACCTCTAACCTAAGGAGAAAACTGTACACATGTGCAAATGATTGTGTTCAAAGTAATTCATTACAACATTTTTGATAAGAGAATGATTACACAAAATTATAAAGAAACACAACGTTTATCAGTACTGAGTTGGTTAATTAAGATACCTTAATAAGAAGGAATATCATGTATCCCCAAACAATGTACAGCCATATTTATTGATGTGGAAAGAGATACCTAGCATGTTGAATGGGATATACAGTGAGGAAGAAGCAGGTTCCAGAGCAGGATGTATAGTAACATTACCCTATTTGTGGAAAACTCTGTGTGGGGGTGTGGGGGAAGGTAGAGAGACAGAGTGGATAAAATTATATTTCTAAAAACTAATAATGATGGCTGGGCTTGAGTGTGTTTTAGTTAATAGTAATGGTTTTCTTTTTTTATACTTTACAATTTTACAGTGAAAATATATGATCTTTACAATTAGAAAAAGCAATAAAGTAATTGCCATGCCAGAGGATGGGAATGTCTTTGACAATAAGCACACCAACTAGAAGTACTAAAAAAAGAAGAAGAATCAGTTGTGCTCAAAATAGTCAAAACATATAAAAGGCAAATACAGAACTGTTATGACTGGTCAGCTTGCTAGTCTAAAAAACTTAAGATCAAAGATGACTATGACTGACCAACCACTGAAATCATCCAGTAAAATTTATAAAGAAAACATTTGCTGATTGCTCCAACAAATGTCAGGCATTGTGTTGGGCACTAGAAAAATAAATAGGAAGATTAAGAAGTCATTCCCTGGTCTTGAGGAACATAGTATAATGGGATAAAAATGCCTATACACAGACCACTTCAAAACAACACAGTGTTACAAGACAGGCATGCAAAAGCCCTATAGGAGGAAAAAATAGGTACCTAGCTGTCTGTGGGGAAGTCTTTTCATTTATAAGATCCCCCATCTTTTCTAGCCTTGTGATTTATTTGTTGAAGAAAGTGAAGTTTCTCTGTAGATTTTCCAGAGCCTAGATTTTACTGATTGCACCCCTGTAGTGTCATTTGAGATGTTCTTCTGTGGTTTTTGTAAATTGAGAATTGAATCTAGCGCCTTAGTCATATTTAGGTTAGAATTTTTTTCAGGAAGATCACTTTATAAAGGATAATGTGTTATTTTTTCAGGAAATGTTTGGTTGCTTCCTTCTATGAAATTAGTAGACGATGATCAATGCCTAAATCCATTATTTTTTTAATTTTTAAAATTTATTTATTTTTTTAAGAGACAAGGTCTCACTCTGTCGCTCAGGCTGAAGTGCAGTGGTACGATCATACCTCACTGCAGCCTTGAACTCCTGGCCTAAAATGATCCTTCTGCCTCAGCCTCCTACGTAGCTGGGACTACAGGCACGTGCCATCACACTGGGCTAATTTTTCTATTTTTTTGTAGAGATGGAGTCTTACTATGTTGCCCAGGCTGGTCTTATATTCCTGGGCTCAAGTGATTCTCCCATCTTGGCCTCCCAAAATGCTGGGATAACAGGCACAAGCCACAGTCCCCAGCCCACCTAAATCCATTAATTAATTAAGGTTGCCAAACGGTAATATCCTGTCATTTCTTTTTAATTTTGCATCTGGAGTACATTTATGAAGAGTGCTTTCCCTCATCTACTATTTGCTTTGCCAGTGAACCATCATATGAGAGGCAGGAATAAATGCTTGATTCTTTTCCATTACCTGCCAGTTTGCAAAATAATAAATTGGTGCACTACAATCCTCCAAAAACGATCAATTACATCTTATTTTTTAGCATCATTTATAAACTCACAGATGAAACATATTTGATGAGTCTCAGTATATTAGAGTTATTATTCTTATGGATGATTAACTTGTCCCATCTTTGGCAAATGAAAAAAACAATGCAAGCTGGTTTTTGATTCAATCATAGTGGTCTGTGACAATTTTCTGTTATGACAAGACGTTCCAGACTCTTATTTTTTTTTCCCCCGACCTGGAGTCAGTCATTTTACCAAGAAGCTGTAGTTTTCTTAAGAAACATTTTTTTCAAACCACAACGTGAGCATTCATTGTGGATTGGTCACTGTTTCTAGACAATTTAAGTACAAAGAGTTGGGGAGAAATGCTTCCAACAAAAAAAAAAAAGTATCCAGACTTCATACTGATATTTCCAACTCAAATTCAGGACTATAAGGTTTTTACTTAATCTTTTCTGTCTTGTATCTGTACATCATTTTTCCCAAGCTGAGAGTTATTCTCAAGGACACCAACTATGAAAGAATTAAAAGTATATCATTTAATGGCGTGAACCCGGTAGGCGGAGCTTGCAGTGAGCCGAGATCGCGCCACTGCACTCCAGCCTGGGTGACAGAGCAAGACTCCATCTAAAAAAAAAAAAAAAAAAAAAGTATATCATTTAATTACTCATCTGTGTTGTTCTAAGAATGGCATCTTAAGAAATCCCAAGATTCTACGTTCAGACAGAGACAGACAAGTCTGCAAAGAAGACCGAAAGGGCACCCATACAGAAGACAGAAAACCACCAGAGTACAATGACATGGAAACCAAAGGAAGAAAATATAAGAAAAATGAAATAATTAAATATTTAGTGCTACTCAAGAGCCAAGTTAGGCAAGTACTGAAAAAATTCAACGGGATTTAGCAAAATGAAAGTCACTGATAATCTCAGGCTGCAAACAGATAAAAGTAGGGTCAGGAATAAAAAGGAGGTAAGAAATTCTTAAAAGTAGCTGTGAAGGGAAAAAAGATAATGCAATAATTGGAGACAGACTATGGGAATTTTGGAAGTCTTTTAAAATAAGAAAGGTTTGATCTTGATCACATCCTTGTGAAAATAATTTAGTTAAGACAGAGTCTGCATATACTAGAACAAGAATGTAAGATTCCTGAGGCGATGGTGGGAAAGAACAGAATCCAAAGCACATGGTAATATATTAACCTGAAGTATGTCTATAATTCCTCATTGCAATGTTTATTGAGTATCCAGTGTGATAGGTACTGAGAATAGAGATAAAAGATGAAGTCCTTAGCTTCATAGAACTCGTGGTCTAGAGGGGAAATCAGACAAGCAAATAATGATAATAATGTAGTATGATAAATGCTGTGAACACAGAATCACACTGCAGCCAGACAAGGACCTGGGATTAAAGAATCTGCTCACAAAGCACATGAACAGACACTTCTGAAAAGAAGACACACATGCAGCCAACAAGCATATGAAAAAAACCTCAACATCACTGATCATGAGAGAAATGCAATTCAAAACCACAATAAGATACCATCTCACACCAGTCAGAATGGCTATTATCAAAAAGTAAAAAAGGAATAACAGATGCTGGTGAGGTTGTGGAGAAAAGGGAACACTTATACACTGTTGGTGGGAGTCTTAGTTTAACCACTGTAGAAAGCAGTATGGCGATTCCTCAAAGAGCAAAAAGCAAAACTACCATTCGACCCAGCAATCCCATTACTGTGTATATACCCGGAGGAATATAAATCATGCTACTATAAAGACATATGCACATGAATGTTCACTGCAGCACTATTCACAATAGCAAAAGACATGGAATCAACCTAAAAGCCCATCAATGACAGACTGGATAAAGAAATCAAGTAAATGTGGTACATATACACAGGGAATACCATGCAGCCATAAAAAAGAACAAGATCATCATGTCTTGCAAAAACATGGATGGAGCTGGGAACCACTATCCTTAGCAAACTAATGCAGGAAGAGAAAACCAAATACTGCATGTTCTCACTTAGAAGTTGTAGCTAAATGATAAGAACTTATGAACACAAAGAAGGAAAAAACAGACACAGGGGTCTACCTGAGAAGGGAGGGTGGAGGAGAGAGAGGAGCAGAAAAGATAACTATTGGGTACTGGGCTTAATACCTGAGTGATGAAATAATCTGTACAACTAACCCCTGTAACACGAGTTTACCTAATAAACCTTCACATGTCCCCAAACCTAAAAGTTTAAAAAAAGTATTAATCTACATTAAAAAATAAAAAATAATAAAAGAAAAGAAAAACTCAAAAAAATCTGCTCACAAATGTCAATGAGAAATTTCCAAATGAAATAGACAAGCAAAACATACAGAAAAACAAACATGCCATGCATGCTTCCCTCTACCACCCCCCACTCCCAAATCTCCACATTTGGATTACTACTATCTTTGCTTTGCGGGCATGGACATGACTGGCTACTTCCCATCTTTCAAATACAGGAAAGCCTCAACTTTACCCTTCCCCCATCACACCACTTTGTTACTTCATTCAGAACTCTTATAGAATCTATAATTATCTTGTTCATTTATGTATTACTTCTTATTTTTATATCTCCTCTAATACAGCCAAAATACATGAGGGCAGGGACCTTATCTATTTGTATAACTGCTCTATTACCAGTCCCTTAAATAGTGCCTCATATTTAATGAATAAATGAATGAATAGTACAGACAGCATTAGAAAATTTAGTTACTTAACACTTCTAGGAGTTTAGATTCCAGGTTAAATAGAAATTGAACACTATCTATAAACTACGTTTGATTTCCAATATAAGCAATATAATTTTAAACTCATCTCTGAAGGTGAAAGGCATGCAATTTTGAGTTCCGAATCCAAATTCTTTTCCATTTGACTACTAACTCCATTAATAAATTCCCAAATAAATCTAGTAAGTCTTTACATTGCATTTAAAATTCTCCTTCAAAGAAATTTCAAATCAACAAGGTAAATTAATGAAAAATGTTGAGGTAGTTGACACTTAGCAGGAAAAAGATGAATTCCTATTTCAATCTCTCATCAAAATAAATTATAGATCAAAGGCTAAAATAATAAAAATAAAACCACAAAAATACTAGAAGAGCTTTAAAGAGACCGGATTTTATAGGTGAGAAAGGCATTTCTTAGCATAAGCCAGAACATTTATAAGATGTAATTTTTAAAGCATCTATTAATACACAGCAAGTGATACCATAAACGCAGGAGGAAGAAAATGACAAACTGAAAAAATCTATTGTTTGTTATATATATAACAAAGAATTAGTATCCACAATATGTAAATAATTCCTAAAATTAGTCAGAAAGAGACAAACTTAAAAAGAGGGTAACAAGGAGGGGAGCAAATTATGTACATAACCAGATGATTCGCAAAGACGGCAACAGAGATGGCCAGCAAAACAAACTAGATATATACTTGTCTATTAGATTTATCAACATTTTTTGCCTTTTTCATTAAAAGCATTTGTAAAAGGATATAGGAAAAGAGGAACTCTCATATACTCCTGGCAGGGATGTAAATTGGTACAACCCTTTTGAAGGACAATCTGACAAAAGCAATCGTAAGTTACAAGTCAACATCTATGAATGTATATGAAAATATTTATATACATACATCACCACCATAAAAGCATTTTCTATACATACTGTTTATAATTAGAAAATTGGAAACAAATGATTAAAAGGGGGCTGATTAAATTAAGGTTCATCTATATAACAGGATTATGCAGCTATTAAAAAGGACGTGGTAACTCTATAGACATTCATAGGAAAATAAATTTTAAAATACTAAGATCCTGAATGATATATATATCATGAGCTATTATACATAACAAGATCCCACTTGTGTTATAAAAAATTATGTTTAGTCATTCAAAGGGTCTGGTATGATAGACCCAAAATGTTAATAGAGTCGAGATTTTTATTTTTTATAGGTTTTTGAAATACCTGAATTTTCACAATAAGTACTTTGCACATTAAAAATCTTAGCTGGGCATGGTGGCTCACGCTTGTAATCCCAGCACTCTGGGAGGCCAAGGTAGGCAGATCACCTGAGGTCAGGAGTTCGAGACCAGTCTGGCCAACATGGTGAAACCCCGTCTCTACTAAAAATACAAAAATTAGCCAGGCTTGGTTGGGGGTGCCTGTAATTCCAGATACTCGGGAAGCTGAGACAGGAGAATCGCTTGAACCCAGGAGGGGGAAGTTGCAGTGAGCTGAGATCACGACGCTGCACTCCAGCCTGGGCAACAAAGAGCAAAACTCCGTCTCAAAAATAAATAAAGAAAAAATCTTTACATGTCCAAAGATACGGCTGTTCAACTAAAAAATATATATGTATAAAACTTAACATGTTAATAGTGAACACACAAAACAGTAAGATAGATAAAATTATTCCTTCAAAGCTCACTTAACCTCTGGATCTACACTGTCCAAAAAGACGGTCTAATGAGACAATTGAGCACTTGATAGGTGAGTGGTTCTAACTGAGATATGTTCTCAGTATAAAACATACAATAGGATCTTCCTATACAACATTAATTAAAAAACAAACTATTGTAGTTAAAAAGGAAAAAATTAGAGATACTATGTAAAAAAGAGCCAAAATACCTTGTATTTTATTTGAAAGACATATCTCCATAAGATTACACAACCTCGTGTAGGATAAAGGACTTTGCTTTGCTTGGAATTTAAACAATTTAGGCTCTTAAATGTCCTAAAATTCTCTGTAGCTAAGAAATTTTTATATTGGTTCCTAGGAACTAGGAATCCTTAAATTAGGCCCTACATTTGCTTACAAGTTTATTTTCCTTGGCATAAAATTTTTTAGTTTTTACATTACTGGTTATATTTGATCAGGGTTCTATTTAAATAGGCACAAGTTCAAGCAAAGATCAGATTCTGCTTTTAGCAGTGTGTACTCAGACAGGAAGTATTAAAAGGCAGGCAGAAAATCCTTTATAAAATTACTACTTTCAATGCATTTTCCCACGTTGAAATGCTTCTGCAGTTTATAATTAGGCAAATTACTTTAATTATAATCAATAATGCTGTTCAAATTACTATAAGAATTATACAGATATTTATACCAAGAGACAATATACTAGAAACCAAGACTACGTGACCATTACCTCTACTCTGTCAGTGTTATTTGTGAGAAATTGCACAAATTTTGCAAAAAGTGTTAGTATCCTACTACAGTAGGATATAATATAGAAGGAAATAATTTCATAAAGCCTGTCTTTGGTACTAGTGCTCAGTTACTTTCATTAACTAAAAAAGGGGCTACTCTTCAAATTCCCTTCTCTAAAAAGAATGTACTATATCAAAAGGGGGTAAACACTACTACGTATACATTCTGCACTTAGAAATCCCTATATGTTGATTTTATCATTCTCTTATTCAATAAATATTGTTTCTACAATGTGTAAGGCATTACTGTACTAAAGCATTATAAGGAATATAAGTTAAAAACACATACAAATCTTGCCAATCAACAGCTTATAGTGTAATAGGGGAGAGAAGCTGGCCCATCTATATTCTCCCTCAACTAGCAAGTGGATGAAATATCAGGGTCAATAGTTATAAGCCACAAAAGCTGACAGCTTAATTAAGAGAAGTTTTGAAATATGTATTTCATGACCAATAATTACAACTGTAACTTTTCTATTTAAAGAAGGAGAAAATTTGAATTTCTTCTCTAGCTCAACATACACTTCTATAATTCCATTACATGAACCAGAGTAAAGGGTAAGATGGAAATGAAGAATATTTTCTTACCCTTTTGTGGTTCTATATTGGACACTTAAAAATCATACACAACCTAATCAAAAGATGTAATTCTTTAAAAAGGTACGAGACCAAAATTCAGAAAATCTAGACTATAACAAAATTTCTCAATTTACATTATCTTAATATGCAATTAATTTTCACCAGTAAAATACTATAGTATGGGTACAAATGCATTGATTAGTTCTAATTACAAAAATGGCTAATATATAATACTGTGTAGTGTTTATGATACATCAGATAATGTTCTAAGTGCTCTGAAAATATAAACTTTTAATCTTTTATACGACCCTATAAAATAGGTGTTATTCTCACTGGAGAGATGAGAAAACAGGGGTTCAGAGATGTGAAGTAATTTGACCAAAGGTCACAAAGCTGAAGAATATGAAATCCGGGATTCTGATTCAGGCAGTCTTATTCCAGAATCATGCTCTTAACCACTATGGAATACTGCCTCTACTGTAACTATTATACCCAAAACCCTTAATCCTAAGTCATCAAAAGGAAGAGCCTCTATTTTACACAATGAAGAGGCATTTCTAAGAATAGAAATTTAGGGACGAGCACAGTGGCTTACTCCTTTAATATCAGCACTTTGAGAGGCTGATATGGGAGGTTCACTTGAAGTCAGGAGTTCAAGGTCAGCTTGGGCAACATAGTGAAACACAGTCTCTACAAAATATTTAAAAATTAGCTGGGTGTGGTGGCATGCATCTATAGTCTCAGCTACTTGGGAGACAGAGGGAGGAGGCTTGCTCGAGCCCAGGAGTTCGTGGCTATAGTGAGCTATGATCATGCCACTGCACTCCAGCCTGGACAACAGAGCAAGACCCTGTCTCTAAAAAAGAAAAGAAATTTGGAAATGGTTTATTTTGTATTAACAATTTATAATTTACACTGAAATTTATTATGATAAAACTTTTCCCTGTGTTAAAAAGCTATTAACTTTATGAAAAATTTCTTTTAGGTAAGGTTGATTATATATACCCACACACATACACAGGTTAAAAGTTAGTTTCATGTGACATAATAACTAGCATTTTGAGCACTACCTGTTTGCCCAGCACTGTTCTAAGTGCTCTACATGTATTATTGTTAAATTATCATAACACTATGAATTATGTACTATAATTACCCCAGCTTTACAGATGAGGAGACTAATCCATGGGGAGGTTAAGTAACTTGTCCAAGGCCAGACAGCTAGAGCCGGCTTTTGGACCCACACCACAGTCTGACTCCAGCACCCATATTCTTAACAATTTCACCATATTAATATGTCAAGATTAAGCAGTTTTAAAGGATGCTATTTTCTCACAAATTTCTTAATATGAACACTCAATAAGAATAATCACTAATATAAGCATTTAGTATTTTTTTAACACTAAGTTGGAAGCATAGTGGAACATTTATTTTTAGAAATATTATTAATTGGCTGGGCTCACGCTTGTAATCGGCTGGGCTCATGCCTGTAAATTTTGGGAGGCCAAGGTAAAAGAATTGCTTGAGCCCAGTATTTCCAGACCAGCATGGGCAATACATTAAGACATCATCTTTAAAAAAAAAATGTTATTAATCTCCTCTTTTTGTTAAATGTATATTATCAAAATTGTTACTAAGCTAACAAACTTCAGAAAAACTTATGATGGGCAAGCTGCTTGTGACATTGAAGGTATTTAAGATTCAATTCTAGTTTGGTCCTAGATGACCACATATCCATTGTTCCTTCAACGAGCACATGGTAAAGAGCCTAGAACACAGAGACACAGAACACAGTGGAGAAAAGGGAGTGAAATGTCTTTAATGACACTTACTATATATGGGATTTTGTGACAATATACAAGGATGGTTAAGACATATAAGGTGATGCAAAAAAACATATTAACAATTATAGTGACAAAAAATGAGGAGCATATAATTATACATTGATTTATACAGAGTACCAGAGGAACACAGCATTGAGAGCCGTAACACCACCTGAGGGAGTGGAGAAAGGCTTCAGAGAGAAAGTGTTTTTTGGAATGGATCACTGTTTCCAAAAGAACTAAAGTACAGTTTGAGAAATGCATACTTAATTCATTACTTTTTTCCCCTCAACTTTAATAATAAATTTACCCAACAAAAAAGTTTATTTTTGACTTGTAAATCTCTTAAAATCATAAAAAAGTAAAATTAGCTTTTAAAAACAGGTAGTCACCATAGCATTGAATGTGTAGTTTATAATACAGCAAAGTTAAATACAATTTCAAATTACCTATTAAGTTAGTTGCTCATTTCTTTGATTTCATTTAGCATTGATCTAACTCAATGTGGAAGAAGGTTACATTCGTGCAAGTTAACACGGCTTAATGATTAACTATGTTCACCTACCAACCTTACCTTTTCTGGGCAAATATTGGTATATATAGAGTTAAGAAGTCTAGGTCTGCTTCCAGAAGAAAACAGTTCCACGTTGCTTGAAATTGAAAATCAAGATAAAAATGTTCACAATTAAGCTCCTTCTTTTTATTGTTCCTCTAGTTATTTCCTCCAGAATTGATCAAGACAATTCATCATTTGATTCTCTATCTCCAGAGCCAAAATCAAGATTTGCTATGTTAGACGATGTAAAAATTTTAGCCAATGGCCTCCTTCAGTTGGGACATGGTCTTAAAGACTTTGTCCATAAGACGAAGGGCCAAATTAATGACATATTTCAAAAACTCAACATATTTGATCAGTCTTTTTATGATCTATCGCTGCAAACCAGTGAAATCAAAGAAGAAGAAAAGGAACTGAGAAGAACTACATATAAACTACAAGTCAAAAATGAAGAGGTAAAGAATATGTCACTTGAACTCAACTCAAAACTTGAAAGCCTCCTAGAAGAAAAAATTCTACTTCAACAAAAAGTGAAATATTTAGAAGAGCAACTAACTAACTTAATTCAAAATCAACCTGAAACTCCAGAACACCCAGAAGTAACTTCACTTAAAGTAAGTAGAAAATAAAGAGGGTTCATGTTTATGTTTTCAATGTGGATCTTTTAAAAAAAATATTTCTAAGGCATGCCATTTGAAATACTTTGTTGCATTGTTGAAATACTTTTTTTTCCAAGAAAAATAATCTCCAGAAAATAAAATTTCCTATTATAATTTCAAGTTAGTTTTTTGTTTCCCTAATGTTATATATGAAAACACTGAAAATTTGCATTTTATATGAAAATTACAAATCGGTTAAATTATACAATCTAGAACACTATGTCATTACACTATTGTAAATTACTGAAGGTAAGTAAAAAGTTAAAAAAAATTTAAAACTATTCTCCAGTGTTTAAAACAGATTAAATAATACAGTAAATGGAAAAGATTTATTCATATGAAAATATGCTGGGCTTTTTCTTTTAATTGAAGTTCAGAAAATCAAATTTTAGAGATAGTACAATTTAAATAAAATGTTAAGGACAAAAATATGTGCTATTTGAAAGAAGCATACAAGGGGAAGGAATTGCCAATATTCATTTTTCAAATCCATTATTAGTTTAAAAATTTAGATTATGATAGTGTTACAGGAAATTAATAGAAAAGAAAGAGGAAAGCAACTTATAACCAACCTACTCTCTATATCCAGACTTTTGTAGAAAAACAAGATAATAGCATCAAAGACCTTCTCCAGACCGTGGAAGACCAATATAAACAATTAAACCAACAGCATAGTCAAATAAAAGAAATAGAAAATCAGGTAAGTCAGTATTTTAATGGTATGTCCCATCTTTCACACAGGTCTGTAAAAACACTGAATCCTAAAATTATTTACAAGCTTTAACTGGATCATGAGTAAAATTATCACATCAGCATAACTGTTAAAATTGCAGGCTCTGAAGCTAATAAACTACCTGCATTTAAACCATGGCTCTAAAACTTTGTGTGACCTTGAATAAATTACTTCACCCCTTTATCTCTCAGTTTCCTCACATATACTACAAAGATAATAACAGAACTTATAGGATTATTGTAAGAAAAAAAATTAATTCATAGCAGCCAATGTCATCTTACTAAAATTCAAATTAGATCATGTTTCTCTTTGCTCAAAACCACACAATAGCTTTCCATTTCACTCATATTGGCTCTTTAGACCAAGATTACCCAACCCTTCGTCATCTCACTGACTTCACCTCCTCTACTCTAGTTATTCTGACCGCTTTACCAGTATTCAAACACATCAAACATACTGCCACCTCAAAGCCTTTGCCCTTGTTGTTTCCTCTAACTGGAACGCTCTTCTGCCCTGGTATCTACGTGGCCCACTCTCTGATTTCCCTTAGGGTCGTTATCAAACAAAAAATTCCCAATGAAGACTTACAAGGTCACTTAACCAAAAATCACAACCGCCTGGTCCCATCCCTGAAAACTTCTACTTCCTTAGCTACTTTTCTCCTGCACACTCACCTTTATTTAACATAACATAAATTTTAGTTATTTATCTCTTCTATTCCTGCACTAAAATGTAAGCTCTGTGAATACAGGGATTTTTTCCATTATCTTCATATTTTCCATTATTTGTATATACTCCAGAATATAGAATACTGTATGGCACACAGTAGGCATTTCTGTTGAATTAATAAATGTAATGTCATATTCACACAGAAGCGTGTGCTATGATTATTATTACTTGGATTACTAGAAATAGTGTGCCTCATAATTAAAGGTCAACATTCAACAATGTAATTAATCTACAATGTAAACATCTGGTGAAGTGACAGAGGGAAGCACTTGTTTAGAAAAAAGCTATGTCAGAATCCATGTATTCTAATATGCAGTACAATAGTTTAAAAATATTAATAATACTCTCAAACAGCTATTCAAGAGGATTCAAAAAACATAATATAAACTCAGAGAAACTGGTAAACAAAATCATTTTCAAGAGATATAAAACAAATATTATTACCAATTTCCACTAAACAAACATAATGTTAGTAGTGCTGCTAAAAGGTTTTTTATCAACTACTTTTGGTTTCCATACTTTCCTTCTTATGATGTTATTATTCTAAATTCTTTTCAATTATATCTTTTACTATGATTAAATGAACCTGCTCCCCAAAGCAAAATGTTACTATAGTAATATACATTGTGTCTAAAAATAAAAATGTGTGAAGAAACCAAAACAATGAATTTCTGAGTTGGAAGAAGAGTTAGATCATTTAACTTTCTCATATTTAAATTAAAAAAACAAAACTCTAAAAATTTAAGTAACTTTAAGATCACATAGTTACTTAGTAGAAAAGAGTAATACCCAGCAAGCAAACTTTACAATAGATCCTTTTAAATAAGGTCCTAGGAAATATCATTCATGCCAGCATCAAAAAACTAACACTAATAATGCAAGATATTATATATTCTGCTTTTCTTACTGTCAATGAGAAAAACTATCATTCAATAAATTGCAAACCCAACACACTTAAATAAAAATAAAATGTTACTGCTAAACTAACGATAAACTACTGAATATATAGAAAGTAAGCAAACAAACTTGCCAACCTGCCAACATCTACAGATATGTTTACAGGTCAAAAATTATCAAATTATCAAGAAAGCCTGGTTCAAATTATGTATTATGTCTTTATCACAGGTCTGAAGATCAGTAAGACCTAAAACTGAAAATTATTAAACTTAAAATCTGAACAGAATATCAAATATATTTTATTCATATAAATAAAAGAATACATTACAATATTCTAAGCAAAGCAGTCTCTACTTTTGGCCTTGCTCTGTTTTCCGACCAATGTCTGCTTTTTTGCCTTGCTTTATTTTTTTATCTTATTAAATAATGTCCCTGATTAAATATTTTGAGAACAGGTAATCTGTACAATCTGAATAACACTGTTTATCTAAATATCAAACACCGTTATAACATTATGAACTGAAAGACAAACTGTACTTCTGACATCCTTACTCAGATTTCCCCTAATTGTATATTCAGTATCATTTTAAAAAACAGATTTATATTCTTTTATCAGCTCAGAAGGACTAGTATTCAAGAACCCACAGAAATTTCTCTATCTTCCAAGCCAAGAGCACCAAGAACTACTCCCTTTCTTCAGTTGAATGAAATAAGAAATGTAAAACATGATGGTAAGACACTTTGGTGGGTTTCCTTCTTGAAGCTATTATTATCAAATTCCCTATTCTTAGGACTTGTTCTAGACTAAAAGATAGTTAAGAGATATCCATCAAATACAATGTATCAACCTAAACTGGATGCTGGGGTTCTTTTTACACCCTATAAAAGACATACCTAAGACAATCAGAGAAATACAAATATGGACTTGATTATTAGATAATATAGAAGGTTTATTAATTTTCTTAGATGTGATCATGGTATTGCAGTTTTAAAGGAGAACAATCTCCTGTTTAAGAGATACATGCTGAAATATTTACGGAGTTAAAGGTCACTGGACTCCAGACTGGTGATAGAACAAGACTCTGTCTCTAAAAAATAATTAATTTTTTAAAAGAAAATAGTTTGGTAAGATGATTCTTACATTCTTAAATAACACGCCATCTAAGAAAAATGCTTTAACATAAACATTACTGAAAAAATGCTACATTTGCCACAACTTCATAAAATGTCAAGTGAAATCTCAAGCTCCAAAGATATTATTCCTATTACTAAATCTGATGTAATAACATTTTATTGATTCTAGGCATTCCTGCTGAATGTACCACCATTTATAACAGAGGTGAACATACAAGTGGCATGTATGCCATCAGACCCAGCAACTCTCAAGTTTTTCATGTCTACTGTGATGTTATATCAGGTAAAACCTGTCTAAGGAGAATAGACAGTAGTTAGTTCAACTTACTCATTACGTATTAGGAAGATTAACCTGGTTATCATTGTTTTATACATATATATATGAAATATATATGAGTATTCGTATAAATATAATACTTTTACCTTGTTTATGTATTTACTCAATATTCTCCTTTTCCTCTAAAATAATCTGAAGTGACTATTATCAATAAGTTTACTATGCCAAAATTCATTAATTGCCTTTCACTTAACTTTTGGGACCATAATAAATAATAAAATGTATTGCCATAACATTAATAAACTACCTTACAAAACCACCAATTAAAATCAAACAAACAAAAAAGTGTTATTTACATCTGTCAACATAAATCTACTAAAAATACATGATTTCATTCATTATATTCAGGTAGTCCATGGACATTAATTCAACATCGAATAGATGGATCACAAAACTTCAATGAAACGTGGGAGAACTACAAATATGGTTTTGGGAGGCTTGATGGTAAGGGGACTACATTCAATCATTCATTCACTTGCTAATCTACAAATATTTACTGAGAACCTCTTATGGACCAGGTATTAGGAAAAGTAGTAACGAACGAGAAGCAGTCTCAGCCTTCATATAATTTATTATCAAACAATTACACATTTGTTAGTAAATTACACTTATTACAACTGTTATTATTTGAATTATATTTATCACAATTACATGTCTGTTCTTAAATATACTTATCACAATTTAATTCCACGGCTTACAATGATCATAACTATAATTATTAAAGACAATTTTGATTAAATGTTATGTCATAAGTAGTAACTGTTACAAATAAGCTGTGAAAAGAACCACTCCTAGCATTAGTCACTCTATTCTCTCATTAACGTTTTACATATCAATTAATTGGAAGTTAAAAGGACCAGGAAACTCAGACATACAGTATACATTTTAAAATTTCAATTATTTAAATATAATATATAGAATGTATGGCTTATAATGAATTAGTTAACTCAATGCAAATTATTCTATTTTGATTACAAATAGTAAAATAAGCAAGATAAAATAACAGATGTTTAAAATCCAAAAAGCACATACAAAAATCCATGAATGATGTCTAAGTACTCACTTATAAAGTAGAAGACATTCATTATTATATCAAATTTTTAAATGCTCAGTACTATTTGACCATTTAAAAATTTTGTATTCAAACTACCAGTGAAAGCCCTACCTAGAAGGTATACTCAGTGATAAGTTTTGTAGCTCCAAATCTTCTAATAGTGAGTGTAACCCCAAAATAAAAGGCTGACAGGTAAGTCGAGAATACTCACTTAATTCTGGTAAGAAAGCAACCCATTTGTACTTGTATTTACCAGCAATCCTTAAAATGAAGCTTCCTACTAACTCAATAGCAATAAGACAATAGTGAATGTTTAATGAAAACAGTATTTTATAAATACTTTAATAAAAAGGATTGTGATGAAGAACAATCTATTTATATTTGTTATTTGTTTTTAATTCCAATAAAAATAATTTTTAAAATTACAGAAAAAAGTTATTAAGAACCATGCTTTTAAATTTAAAATGATTTTTTAAATTTATTCCTGTCTTTTTCTACAAAGAAAGCATACATTAAGCAAATACCAAAGGCCAGGTTTACATTTGAAGAAAGTGACATTATTATTACTCAAGTCTCTAGGAATACTTAACACATCTCTTGACTGTATATGGATGTTAATAAATAGCTGACAGTAAAGTTTATCCATATAAAGACTTGCAAATATTCCTCTACCAATGACGAGACTTTAAAATATCTATAATAATGTAACACATTTCACTGGTGAAACATGTCTTGTCATATGCATTATAGAAAGGATAATCAGACTTTCAGTTATATTAATATTTTTAACATTTTTGTGCACATAGCTATCTTCAATAAAATTGTTTTAAAAGGTATTATTTTAAGATACACTAAAATGATCAAGGGATTCAAGACTAAACAACTCAATTAGTTGCACCAATAAAAAACACTTAAAAAAACTGTCAGTGTCCAACCTGTACTTAATAACTCACAGATTTTTAAAACTTTTCTTTTCAGGAGAATTTTGGTTGGGCCTAGAGAAGATATACTCCATAGTGAAGCAATCTAATTATGTTTTACGAATTGAGTTGGAAGACTGGAAAGACAACAAACATTATATTGAATATTCTTTTTACTTGGGAAATCACGAAACCAACTATACGCTACATCTAGTTGCGATTACTGGCAATGTCCCCAATGCAATCCCGGAAAACAAAGATTTGGTGTTTTCTACTTGGGATCACAAAGCAAAAGGACACTTCAACTGTCCAGAGGGTTATTCAGGTATCTTTTTCTGATACCAATACTTTATTTTCATATCTTCAAAGTATCTTCCCACATTATTAGCTATTATCTGCAATGACAACTTTTAAAAATCCGAATCCCAAATAAGCGTTTTCTCTCTAGACGAAAACCTCTTAACTATAATGAAAGTGTTCATTCTAGTTCAATCAGGTATTTTACCTCTAATCTTCCTCAGATTTTCTATTTTTTGGTAGTGTATAGATTATTTATACAGATTATTTAAAATTGGGACTTATACAGATTATTTAAAACTGGGATACATGCATCTAAAACACTGTAATATTTATAAGAAAGGAAGATAAACTTACGGGGAAATACAGTAACAGTAACTACATACGAGTCTGTACCCATTAAATTGCATATCTATCTCCTTTAGGAGGCTGGTGGTGGCATGATGAGTGTGGAGAAAACAACCTAAATGGTAAATATAACAAACCAAGAGCAAAATCTAAGCCAGAGAGGAGAAGAGGATTATCTTGGAAGTCTCAAAATGGAAGGTTATACTCTATAAAATCAACCAAAATGTTGATCCATCCAACAGATTCAGAAAGCTTTGAATGAACTGAGGCAAATTTAAAAGGCAATAATTTAAACATTAACCTCATTCCAAGTTAATGTGGTCTAATAATCTGGTATTAAATCCTTAAGAGAAAGCTTGAGAAATAGATTTTTTTTATCTTAAAGTCACTGTCTATTTAAGATTAAACATACAATCACATAACCTTAAAGAATACCGTTTACATTTCTCAATCAAAATTCTTATAATACTATTTGTTTTAAATTTTGTGATGTGGGAATCAATTTTAGATGGTCACAATCTAGATTATAATCAATAGGTGAACTTATTAAATAACTTTTCTAAATAAAAAATTTAGAGACTTTTATTTTAAAAGGCATCATATGAGCTAATATCACAACTTTCCCAGTTTAAAAAACTAGTACTCTTGTTAAAACTCTAAACTTGACTAAATACAGAGGACTGGTAATTGTACAGTTCTTAAATGTTGTAGTATTAATTTCAAAACTAAAAATCGTCAGCACAGAGTATGTGTAAAAATCTGTAATACAAATTTTTAAACTGATGCTTCATTTTGCTACAAAATAATTTGGAGTAAATGTTTGATATGATTTATTTATGAAACCTAATGAAGCAGAATTAAATACTGTATTAAAATAAGTTCGCTGTCTTTAAACAAATGGAGATGACTACTAAGTCACATTGACTTTAACATGAGGTATCACTATACCTTATTTGTTAAAATATATACTGTATACATTTTATATATTTTAACACTTAATACTATGAAAACAAATAATTGTAAAGGAATCTTGTCAGATTACAGTAAGAATGAACATATTTGTGGCATCGAGTTAAAGTTTATATTTCCCCTAAATATGCTGTGATTCTAATACATTCGTGTAGGTTTTCAAGTAGAAATAAACCTCGTAACAAGTTACTGAACGTTTAAACAGCCTGACAAGCATGTATATATGTTTAAAATTCAATAAACAAAGACCCAGTCCCTAAATTATAGAAATTTAAATTATTCTTGCATGTTTATCGACATCACAACAGATCCCTAAATCCCTAAATCCCTAAAGATTAGATACAAATTTTTTACCACAGTATCACTTGTCAGAATTTATTTTTAAATATGATTTTTTAAAACTGCCAGTAAGAAATTTTAAATTAAACCCATTTGTTAAAGGATATAGTGCCCAAGTTATATGGTGACCTACCTTTGTCAATACTTAGCATTATGTATTTCAAATTATCCAATATACATGTCATATATATTTTTATATGTCACATATATAAAAGATATGTATGATCTATGTGAATCCTAAGTAAATATTTTGTTCCAGAAAAGTACAAAATAATAAAGGTAAAAATAATCTATAATTTTCAGGACCACAGACTAAGCTGTCGAAATTAACGCTGATTTTTTTAGGGCCAGAATACCAAAATGGCTCCTCTCTTCCCCCAAAATTGGACAATTTCAAATGCAAAATAATTCATTATTTAATATATGAGTTGCTTCCTCTATTTGGTTTCCTTAAAAAAAAAAAAAACTCTCATAGGACATGTTTCATTTTGTTCCTTTCAGGAGTAGTAAATTAGACGTTTTCCCCATATAAAGCTTTTTTCTACCAGAAAGATACTTCTGGTAGAAGAAGAGAAAGGAGCTCTTTATGGTTCACACGACTGTCTCCTGTCCTAACTACTTTGCTTAAAGTGCTCAAATTCCATCACTACTCACAGTTGTCTAATCTAAGTCTAATCCCCTTTGATCTCTCAGACTACCTTCCCTTTTATCTCTCTACTACTTAATAATAAGAATATCTTTTTTTCAAACTTGACCTTCATTTTGCTTTCACAATACTATACTCTCCATGGATTATCCCTTATCTGAATCCATCTTTATAACCCTATTCCTTTCTCATATTTAGTACTGTGGGCCAATGGACAACCTTCAATCATCTTTTCTACACTGACCCTCAGACATTCTATCTGCTCTCACGGACTCCTTTATTTACCATGAATAAAGTTCCAAAATCTACATATTCATCCCAAGTCTCTTTCCAGTTCCCCTTCTTACATTGCCTATTTGCCATTTCTCCCTTCAATACCCTATACTTCACTCAAATTCAACATACCAAAAATAAAAGGCCAGGCACGGTGGCTCACACCTGTAATCCCAGGACTTTGGGAGGCTGAGGCAGGTGGATCACCTGAGGTCAGGAGTCTGACCAGCCTGACCAATATGGTGAAACCCCGTCTCTACCTAAAATACAAAAATTAGCCAGGCGTGGTGGCATGTGCCTACAGTCCCAGCTACTCAAGAGGCTGAGACAGGAGAATCGCTTGAACCCAGGAGGCGGAGGTTGCAGTGAGCTGAGATCACACCAATGCACTGGGTGACAGAACAAGACTGACTCAAAAAAAAATAAATAACAAATTCCCCAGCCCCTTACTGCTACTGCTATCCCTTTCTACCCACCTTTCCCTCCTTTATACTCTTTCACACCATCTTCCTCACTTCTTTATATCCATTAATATGACCAGCATGTTCCCAGTCACAGAAGCCTGGAACCCGGAAGACATCTCTGGCTTTTCACTCAACTTTGTAAACTACCTCTTTTGTATCATAAGCCACCAAGTTCAATACAATCTTCTCTTGAAACGTCTCTTAATCTTATAAGCTTTCTTCCCCAAAGACTGTCTTTAACTTCAGTGCTAGATTATATAAGTAGTCTCTTCTTTCCTCCTAATTTTACGTCCCTCTCCCTGTCAATCTTCCGAAAAGGAATTTGTAATGGCTGCATACTGCCTGGACCTGTGTCTTTCAAGCTCATCTACTGAAGAAGTGTAACAGCAGAGGATAATGAAAACAAATCCTTTTATTGTCTGGAGTTACAGGATAAAATAACTTACTATATGCACAAATTTCTTTCAGAATCTTATTGGGATCTTAGCTTAAATCTTAGAATTTTACTTTAAAATTGCATATGAATTGTGTTTTATACTTTATAAATCTATCTTCATGCCTGCAGTGGCTCACACCTGTAATCCAAGTATTTTGGGAGGCCGGGGCGGGAGTACTGCTTGAACCCAGGAGTCCAAGATCAGCCTGTGCAACACGGCAAAACTCCACCTCTACAAAAAATACAAAAATTAGCTGGGTGTGGTGGCAGGTGCCTGTAATCCCAACTACTTGGGAGGCTGAGGCAGGAGAATCGCTGGAGCCTGGGAAGTCAAGCCTGCAGCGAACCATGATCCTAACACTGCATTCTAGCCTGGGCAACAGAGTGAGACTCTGTCTCAAAAAAAATCTTCATATAAAAATATTTATTTCCCCCCAAGTATTTAAAAAGTGATGTTCCTAGAAGATGTGTCATGTTTATCCTGTGAACTTGCACGTCCCATATAGTTGTGCCCTCACAAGAATGTATACTCCAATTAGAAGAGTATAGGCCTTTGGAACAAAATCCAAAATCCTTCCAGGTTTTCAAAAGTCTCTATCACCTGGCCCCAAATTACCTCTTCAGCCATTTTTTCCCACAACACAAACCTTCTGCTCTCATCAAAACGATCTACTTTTAAACATCTCCTCTATGCCTTCCTAATGTATTCCATTTGTCTAGAATGTCTCCCCACACATTTCTGATTGGCTAGATTGTGCCGTATTTTAAGGTGCAGATATCTCAATTCTTCCACAAATATTCTAGTAAATGGCAGCTTGTTCATCTGAAACCACACAGAATTACTGTCCATACACCTCAAATGGCACTTAGTGAGAAAATACACAGAATATGGCAAATCATAATAATAAAAATTCTGAAAAATAGTACTAAAAGCTCCAAAAGCATCAAAGATAGTCAGTTTACCTGATTTTAGTGAATTACTGAAAAATTTCTATATCAAGAGTTTATTTTGAACCAGTATGAATTTTACTGAAACCAAGTACACACATGTCTCATTATGAGGTAATCTAGTGTAGTATAATCTATTTCCATACACTCTGTCATCCTGGAATCAGCATATTTTCATGCTTGTATCTTTACTTCCTAATAGCATAACTCATGGAAGTCAACTAACTCATTCATTAATTTTAGAAATGGTATTCATTAAACAACACTTATTGAGCATCTACTATTTGTCTCCTTTAAAAAACATATTCCAAATTTGTACTCATATATACTCTACCTTCTGCTGTAGGATAATCAAATTTCCTTGTGATTTTTTTCCCCATCACTAACAGCCATAAACTCTGCACTTATGTATGTACTACTGAGTGATTATCAAACACAGCAGTTTTAAAAATGAAAAGAAAGTGACCCAACAATTGGCCCTTTTATCAAAGTCCAAAGTATTATCATGGCAAATCAACTAGGGTAAAATTACTTAACTGGTGCACAGTTCAAGGTCATGAAAGTAGCACTAACAATCCTCTATTATAACCCTTAATAAAATGAGGTTTTAATGACATTTTAGGAAATATAAAATAAACTTAAGAATTCTATCTAAAATACAAAGGCTGTTTTTCCTAAATTCATGTTTAGTCCTAAGAACAGTCATACATCTAATAAAATGACTGGGTATATAATTTGAAAGAGCAATAAATTACTACCTTGAAGATGTAAGGTTGTAGCTATTTATCTTAAAATACACAGTCAAACCTCAGTTTCCACACCCAATAGATGGGAATAATAATCCTGTCAAATCTATTAATACTTCATGGGATTGTAATCATCAAGCCAGATAATGTATTTGAATAGCTTTATGAACTATAAAGTTCTAAACAAATGTATATACTTTTTAAAAACAGGTTCTTCCGTGTCATTTTTCACATTCCTTTAAGTAAATAATCTCTACAAACGCTTCCTAACTGAACATATTATAATTCTCAGGACAGAAGAACAAAACTGCCCTTCTCAGAGTTTGCATCTGTTTCTGGAACTTTACTCCTTCCCTTCACAATCTAAGATAACACTCCATCACCTTCAGATGCAAGCCCCTAACTAAAAACTTCTGGGTGGCTATGTTAAAATGTTAGGAAATAGAGCTCTTGACTCAGAATTCTTTTTTTTTTCGAGATGGAGTCTCGCTCTGTCACCCAGGCTGGAGTGCAGTGGCACTGCACAGTGAGCTGAGTGATCTCAGCTCTCTGCAACCTCCGCCTCCTGGGTTCAAGTGATTCTCCTGCCTCAGACTCCTGAGTAGCTAGGATTACAGGTATGTGCCACCATGCCTGGCTAATTTTTGTATTTTTAGTAGAGACGGAGTTTCATCATGTTGGTCAGGCTGGTCCCGAACTCCTGACCTCGTGATCCGCCTTCCTCGGCCTCCCAAAGTGCTAAGATTACAGGCGTGAGCCCCCGCGCCCAGCCGACTCAGTTTTTATAGTTAAAATAAACTAGGACCAATTCGATAGAATAAAACTCAGAGTGGTATAACAAGGACAAAACCAAAATAGCAGAGTATGTGGCAGTAGCTTGAGACATCTATGAACTCTAAAAATAAAAACAAAAACCAATACTTTCTGAAGCAGAGAACCATACACTTGAATAGAAAAAAAAATGCTCCTGAATTTTCAGTAACGTTCAGCTGAAATTTATACTTCCTTAAATTATGAATGTAGTAAACCAACCACAGCAGTATTACCAGTATATAAGATTTTGTCATTAATAGAAACATACATTTACTATTATTATTATTATTATTATACTTTAAGTTCTGGGATACATGCGCAGAACGTGCAGTTTTGTTACATAGGTATACACGTGGTATGGTGGTTTGCTGCACCCATCAACCCGTCATCTACATTAGGTATTTCTCCTAATGCTATCCCTCCCCTAGCCCCACCCCGACAGGTCCCAGTGTGTGATGTTCCTTTCCCTGTGTCCATGTGTTCTCATTGTTTAGCTCCCACTTATGAGTGAGAACATGTGGTGTTTGGTTTTCTGTTCCTGTGTTAGTTTGCTGAGAATGATGGTTTCCAGCTTCATCCATGTCCCTACAAAGGACATGAACTCATCCTTTTTTATGGCTGCATAGTATTCCATGGTGTATATGTGCCACATTTTCTTCATCCAGTCTATCATTGATGGGCATTTGGGTTGGTTCCAAGTCTTTGTTATTGTGAATAGTGCTGCAATAAACATGTGTGCATGTGTCTTTATAGTAGAATGATTTATAATCCTTTGAATATATACCCAATAATGGGATTACTGGGTCAAATGGTATTTCTAGTTCTAGTTCCTTGAGGAATCGCCACACTGTCTTCCACAATGGTTGAACTAATTTGAAACATACATATTTTTATATCACAACTATTATAGACATCTCAAAATATTGTTGATGCTTATTACTATTTAGAAAATACAATAGTTTTTTAACCTGAGGCCAGATCATGTTATTTCATTCATCAATAAACACATATATCACAACTTTAATATTTTGATAATTTTAATTCAATGTAACTGATTTCCTTTGTTATTCTATATATTTTATTTCATGCATTTAAAAACATTTAAACATTACAGATTGAGTATCCCTTATTCAAAATGCTTAAGACCAGAAGTCTTTCAAATTTCATATTTGTTTTGGATTTTGGAATATCTTTATACTCACGGTTGAGCGACCTCAAATCTGAAAATCCAAAATGCTTCAACGAGATCTTCTTTGAGTATCATATGGGTGCTTGAAATGTTTTGGATTTTGGAGCATTTAAGATTTTGGATTTTCAGATTTGGGATGCTCAATATATATTTCAAAAAAGGGTATCACAGGATTCACAAGACGACCACAAGGTACCATGGTACACAAAAAAATTAGCAGCCCATGTTCAAAGGACCTACTGTCATGTAATAACCTAGTTTAAGAAACATGAATTACATGGCTCTCATGTCATAACATCAACAGCACACATATTCTGACTGGCCAAGCTCTTCCTTGAAACAATATTTTAGGAAAAAAAATTTAATCAGTATATAATAAGCTTATTCAACTACTCAAGAAAAAAAAACTGATGATAGTAAAATTCTAAAGAGATCATAAAACATTTCATTTGTTATTGAGGTTAACTTTTAAAAGTCCTTATCTGGCCAGGCATGGTGGTTCATGCCTGTAATCCCAGCACTTTGGTAGGCTGAGGTGGGCGGATCACCTGAGGTCAGGAGTTCGAGACATGCCTGGCCAACACAGTGAAATCCCATCTCTAGTAAAAATACAAAAAAAAAAAAAAAATTAGCTGGGTGTGGTGGCTTGCACCTGTAGTCCCACCTACTTGGGAGGCTGAGGCAGGAAAATTGCTTGAACCCGGGAGGCAGAGGTTGCAGTGAACCAAGATCATGCCACTGTATTCCAGACAGGGCATCAGAGCAAGATTCTGTCACACACAAACACACAAAAAAGTCCTTATCTGTTAGAGATACATACTGAAGGATTTTCAAGTGAAATGATAGGATGTCTAGGCTTTGCTTCAAAAATATTACCAACAAAACAAAAGACAGGACAAGTAACAGATAACACAAAAATGACAATGCAAGTTAATTAATCTGTTCTCTAATGAGAATATATGGGCACAGTGAGGGAACAACACAGACTGGGGACAGTCAGGGGGTTGGGTGCAAGGGAGGGAGAGCATTAGGACAAATAGCTAATACACGTGGGGCTTAAAACCTAGATAACAGATTGATAGGTACAGCAAACCACCATGGCACACGTATACCTATGTAACAAATCTGCACATTCTGCACTTGTATCCCGGAACTTAAAGTAAAATAAAATTAAAAAAAAAATTAATCTGTTCTCTTTACTTTTAGGTGTATTAATTTTAGGTGTAGGTGTATTAATTTGTTCCCTTTACTTTTATAATTTTCCATAATAAAAGTTTAAAACTATATTCAGATTAGATCAGAGAAAATAGATTTACTAAAATTTATTAAGAGATGTATGGGCATATTCCTAACAGACCAAAATCCTTTTGTTTCTCACCCTGACAGTTACCAGGTCTGAACCATTGTATTCATTCTTACATTCTTAGTAACGCACCATGTTTGCTAGATATAGTCTTTCAAAAATACTAAGTAGAAAAACAAAGATACAAACATTCAACAGGTGATTACAACTAAGGCCATTACTGGAAATGCGGCTAACTCTAACAATCCTGCCAAGAATACCATGTGTTCTGTGGACATACCTCTTAAAAACTGGATGTCAGTAAAACACATAAGCATTTGCTCAATTAATGTACCTTGATCTATTACAACTCAAATACAACAGTGGTGATCAAGTAAAAATTTGGAACACAAGTAACATTGCATACAATCTATTACCTAACTTTCAGATGATTTCAAATATCCAATAAAAGATTTTTTTCACCATTGAGAAAGATCTTTATTTGGTTTACTTAATGTTAACAATTACACTAGTACTTTTTCTAAAATACTGTGATAGGGTAAGTACTTCCTTGATAAAGCAAGAATTTGATGTAAACCCCACTTGTATGGTGCAGTAAGAAACAAGTCATTCATTTTCTGATTGTTAGAAACTACCATATATTTGTGTATCTTCATCTACCCCTGTAGAGAATTTGAAAAGATCAGGCCCCTCTTCAGTTAACCCTATGCAAATAAATGTGACCAGCTGTGTGTGGGAGGTAGGGAGGCGCGGGGAACGACAGAGTTTGTTATTTAAAGGTGAAAATCTCTAGCTTCAGGTATAACTTAAATAACAGATTTAAGTCTTTAAGAAGACTCAACATCTTCAAAAGAATATTTTTTAAAGTGTACATAATAAAAGTAAATTAAACTAATATAGACCTCTTTAGACAGCTTTCTCTGAATTATCTGATAACGAACATAAAAATGAGAAGTGAAAGGTGTATAGGAAATCTGTCACTTTCAGAATACAGTTCTCTTTCCTACGATTTCTCAACTCAGTCAAATGCTTCAATGATGTCCATTCATTCCCCCTATATTCATGCAGTTTTTAATTTTTTCCCTATGAGACCCTTTACAATCCTCTCAAGTTTCTCACTAAAACTAAATACAATATGGAAATATTTTCTTAAAACACACATGAACAATGCTTAAATTCCTATTTTTTTCAGATATAAATTTGAACCCCCTGAACTTCAGCTTTGTCATCTATAAAATAGGGATAACCACATTGGTTCTGTGCAGGCTGCTATCAGAGTTAATAGATAATGGCCATATATAAACTAAAAGGAGCCCTAGTGTCAACTTTATCTTCCTTTTTTTTAACATTATTCACTGGGAAAATGTGTACACAAATATTTGTATAGTGACCACTGGTATGTATTATCACAAATTATGTCTTATCCTGAAACATTCCTGAGAAGGCAAAAAGAATCCAAATGAGCTAAAAGATTATCATCACCATGATCCAGCATAACCATTCAGTTAGCAAATATTTATGGAACTTTCTGTAAATTATTGATGATATTTGTATATTAGCTGTCAGCTGCTGAGGTTGTCATACATCCCTTTTCGTCATTCCAAAATTATTTCTACCTATGCTAGGTTTCTAGATATGCTTAAGGTTTTTGTTTTTTTTTAAAATAAACTATCAGTTCCTAAACATATAAGCTGTCCATAAGGCCAAGTTTTTCTAACAGCATCAAATAGAATAAACAACTTTTAATGATTTGGTTTTAAGGTCCCATGGACATTGATGGTCTAATAATACAAAGCAGGCCAATATTGACTCTGATAATCTCCCTTTTAAAATAATTCTCTTATCCAATTATACCCCAGATGCCTAGTACCCTCATGCTTTTCAAACCAATCTCTCTCAAGTTGTATAGTGCATGAGTAAATGTAATCTAATAAAGCCAAAAACAATAACAACTTCTATTGAGCATTTAATATGTACTGCATTACTTTGTGACATGCACTTTACACATATTTAATCCCCATAGATTTCTAAGATATAGGTACTTTTATTATACCCATGTTAAAGGAAGGAAAAATCATTCCTCAATTTTAAATACAGTAAGTCCTCACCTAATGTCATAGCTACTGTGACACTGGATAATGTTCTTGGAAACTGTGACTTTAAGAGAAGGACTTTAAGGACCATGTGCAGCAGGTTCTTGAATAATATCATTTTGTTCAGCATTGTTTTGTTATAACATTGACTGGAAAAAAAATGGTTTCGTCACATGTCATTTAGCTTAAAACCTTAGTTTCCAAGAACCTATTAACAATTTTAAGTGAGAACTTACTGTAATTCCTAAAAATGAAACATGGTTACAAAATACAGGTTACGAGAGCCCATCTCCCAATTTTTCATAAGCTACACATATAGTCGTACCATTTCAAGTAACACAAAAATTATTATTTCTTTATGTAATTTGGAGATTATTTTTAAAAGGGAATGGTCAACTTTATAATCATATTTTGTTAAAGAAACTATTTGGCAAAACAGTAACAACAGGAAAAAAGTCAACCAAGTATAGTAATCACAATTCTACTTCTGAATTTTCATGTAGTATCTAATTTTCTCTACTTCACTGAGGATACTCTTATACTAGAAAATTATTAATCGCTTTCTTAAAATAATGCATCCTTTTTGCTCCAACAGTTCTCACTGGTACTTGCTACTAACAGAGCACTAGGATCATTTCCATAAACTAAGAAACTTAGCCTTGACATTCTATATCACATTTAACCAATGTCTGTTAACAGGTTAAAGCATTTTATATAAGTTCCTTACAAACTGTATATAAGGAGGAATAAGGTTATGTAAAGCCCTAATCTGAAATCAATTCATTTTGATGAAAAACATTAAAGCCTAAATCAGTATTCATATTCAATAAAAGTTAAATAGGAGTAACTCTAATCTTTATGATGAGCTTAGCAAGTTCTATTATTCTCTGGAAATAAACTGTTCACTCATGAGAGAAAAATGGTTATTCTATAAACATTTAATGAGTCCTTTTTTAAAAGCTTCTTGCCTACAATATTATTTTTACTAATAATGTCTGGAATGAGTATTAACTCTGTAATTAATAGAATGTCTAGATACAGTCCAAACTAAAGGCACTGAGATACGTTAAATGATCTCTCAACATCATTCTCAAATTAATATGCTATAATTCATTTTTATACTTGAAAAATTTAACTCCCAGAATAGAAACTAATTATAGTTTTTGGACTATCACTTAGCCTTACCAATACTAACCACTTCAAGTGAGAAAGCATTCCACCCTAAAAACCAAAAGCAAACCCAAATAAACAAATGATCTTAAACAAGCACTAATACATGTTTACATAATTTCCATTAAACTCAAAAAGCAAAACCATACTAACTTATAATTTATAAAATCCCCTTAAATCATTTGATGTATGAACTTTTTATCTCCTCCAGAAGAGGATGTTACATTAAAACTGGATACATCCTTAAGAGAAAACAACGTGCTGCCTTATTTGGCACGGTATCTTCTCACTTGGTATGAGCGCATTACTCAATTCCCATTTAAGTTCTGTAACATGTCTGGATTATCTATATTGGCTCTTTTTCCATTAATTCACAGAAAAGATACCCTAGAATCCATTTATATCAAGTGTATCACTTACATCAACTGTAAGACATTAAAAAAAATTAAACAAATATAAATAATGGTGTAGATTTTGAGGCTAATGTAAGATAAAAGTGTTCTGTTTTAATAAAAATGTAGCAAACAATTCTCTACCAATGAGAAATTTTATTTTTATTCAAATTATATATAATTATGAATGCTGGATGTCCTAACATTCCAAAAGATGAAGAACACAGAAAATGAAGTAAGAAGGCTTGGGTTCAAGTCCAAACAAGTCTCTTAATTCAGCCTTCTGTCAGTAGAGAAGTGGAGACAATAATACTGCCAGAATTATGTAATGTATAAGATTTCTATGAGACTGAATAAACTAATTTAAATGAAATTATATTCTATAAAGCACTAAATAAATGTCATCATATCAATATGTCAACACGAAATTTCAGAACACCAGTGATAAAGAAAATAATTCAAAAAGTCTTAGGGCAAAATAAGACGCAAAAGATTAGCAATCAGTATAATATTGGACTACTCAAGGGTACTGCTTAAAGCCAGAAGACAGTAGTTATATTTTCAAAGTTATGATAGAAAATGATATAGAATTTAGAATTTTATACCTGGCAAAACTATTAATTTGAGAGTAAAGGTAAAGATACTGTCAGACATAAAAGAAAATTTACCTCCCACACATCCTATTTAAGAAAGATACGAAAGCTTTCAGTGAAATGAGCAAACTAAGGAAAATACATGAAAAATAAGGACTCTATTGCAAAAAAAAAAAAAAATGCAAAGAAAATGTCCAGGATAATGGTAAATAGGCTCTAAGATGACAATTGTACAGTAAGCCTAAAAAGCCTACAAAACTTCCTCTGCAAGGGAGGAAATAATTGATTGTTGATGTATTTCACTGTACTATAAGAGGTTTTACAGAGAGTTTTAGCACTAACACATAGAAAAGGAGCCAACTCATGCAGTGTCTTATAGACTGTTAGAAAAAATTCATTCTTTTTCTGTTTGTAATAGAAGCACTGGAGAATTTCAGACACAGGAATGAATGATTTGATTTACAATTTTCAAAGAATTCTCTGGCTGCAATGTTGAGAAGTGACTGAGACAGGAGTAGAAATAAGATAGCCAAATTAGTAAGGATAGCAAAATTCAAGATCAGAGACTGTCTAATATGGTAGCCTTTAGCCCCAGGTGGTTATTAAGCACTTGAAATGTGGCTCATCTGAATTGAAATGTGCTTTAACTATAAAATACACACTAGATTTTGAAGTTAGCAGAAGAGAACAGAAGTAAAATATCTCAATAATTCTTAACATTTATTACATGTTGAAATGATAATACTTTAGATACACTGGTTTCAATGACATATATGATTAAAATTAACTTTACCTGTTTCTTTTTTTTAATGTAGCAATTATAAAATTTTAAATTGCAAATGTGGTTCCCATTATATTTCTGTTTCACAGTGCTGATCTAGATGGTGACAGACTAGAATTTTTAAAAGGTGGAAGTAGTAAGAAGTACAGATCAGGATATATTTTGGAAGTAGAGCCTATGTAACTTGTTGGCTGAATAAATGTGAGGGGTAGGAAAGGAGAGAAATCATAATAATTCCAAAAATTTTGTCCTCAGGAACTTGGTAAATGGTGGTAAAAATATACTAGGATGGGGAAGTCTAGGATGAAATCCAAATTTCTGTTTTAGAATCTTATACCTGAGCTGCCCTACTGAATATCCCAACAGACATGTCAAGTTCTGGTCTCGGCATTCACAAATAAAGGGTATATCATTCATAAGGAGTACATGCAAATGGCACCCCCAGAGTTATGTAATGTTCAGTCTGAAAAGTTATATCTGACAACGTCATGTCAAGTATTCTCTAGATAGGATATACTCAACAAATATTGTTGATTTATTAGAACATAATGCAGGCACATAAATTTGATTCTTGTGTAATGCTAGATTCTGCTACTAAAAACATTTGAGAAAACATAGTAATTAGGAGTTCAAATGTTTTAACCTAAAGGCCCAGGAATCAAATCCCATCACCATCACACTAAGGTGTGATGCTCAGCAAAATGTTTAACCTCTCTAACCCTTGGTTTACTCACCTCTAAAATAAAAGTAAAATCCACCTCAAATAATGAGGATTAAATAAGACTAAAAAAGATAAAGCATGTAAGGTAATTAACATTATACCTGACACACAGAAAGCCTTAATACGTGAAAACTATTAATAAAATTGTGCGGTAAGAGATAGAGTTAAGTAACAAAACTACTTAAGATTTTTGGAGAGTTTATTCTAGTTATACTTTAATATTTTAGAATATACAGTATCTTCTATCAGAATTCTCCAAATTAAAATCTCTTACCTGTAAGTAGTGTTTGGAACATAAACATCCCTTGCGGGAAACTCTAAGATTTCTCTGGTAGGTCTAACTCTACTGTCAGGGTAAAGCTTCACTTGAAGCAGCTCCGGAGTTAGGCAATAATGGGGATTTTCAGGTGCGGGAGAAATGTCTATCTTGAGCTGAGCTGCAAATTATATATTAAAAAACAATGTAAAGACAATAAAAAAGTCCACGTTAAACATGTTTTTTAAAGGACTTGGATCCTATTTTTGCAAGAAGTCTGGGAAGAATATTACAGAAACCAAATTTATATTATTATCATCTCATGCCTCTAAATCATTTCATTTTGCAAAGTCTCAAACTTAAAAATTACCGATCCAGACATAAATGCACGTAAAATAATAAATGCTTATTAAATAAATGAATGGGAATGAAGGAAGGAAGAAGCAAAAATAGAAAAAAAAACCAGAGGGATCTGGCATAGGAACAAGCTAAGTCATTTCAAAGATTAAAAGACTTAGTTTTGACTTAGCAAACTTTAAGACATTTTTACTCTGGAATGGTTTGCTCCAATCATAATATGAATCTATTTTTTAATATTTACCATTCTATTACCATTCTAGAAAATAATTTTAAGCCATGATATTATTCATCACACTCACTTTAGTATAGTAATTCCTTCCATCCCCCGCTGGGGATATATTTTAAGACCCAACCCCTAGTGGATGCCTGAAACTGCAGACAGTACCCAACCTTATAGATACTGTTTTTCCCTATACATACATGCCTACAATAAAGTTAAATTTATAAATTAGGCAAAGTAAGAGATTAATAACCCTAACTCATAATAAAACAGAGCAATTATAACAATATACTATAATAAATGTTACATGAATGTGGTCTCTTTCTCCCTGTTCCTCTCTCCAAATATCTTAATATTTTCACATCGTGGTTGACTACAGGTAACTGAAACTACGGAAAGAGAAACAATAGGTAAGTGGGGACTACTGCACTCAAAGTACCAAAGATGCTGAATCCTGCATCCAAACTGTCAGATCACATGATAGTTAATAAAGTGAAGAAGACTGACAGGCATTGGGCATAGAAAAATGTCTGGGCCAGATAAATAAAAAAAAAAGATACATAATTATAAGCAATACAACATAGTAGTGATAATAATAGTTGCAACCATTTCTACTCAAAATTTTTAAATACCTGTAATAGGTCTTAGTCGCCGTAAGACAGAAGATGGCCTTCTCATATCAGCAAGGAATTTGTAGAGATCTTCATCACTTAAGCGGTCTCCTTCCTGATTTCAATAATAGAGGAAAAAGTATTTGATAAAACAAATATAGCCAGGCACAGTGGCTCACGCCTGTAATCCTAGCACTTTGGGAGGCTGAGGCGGGCGGATCATATGAGGTCAAGAGTTTGAAACCAGCCTGGCCAACATGGTGAAACCCCGTCTCTACTAAAAATACAAAAAAAATTAGCCAGGCATGGTGGCACGTGTCTGTAGTCCCAGCTACATGGGAGGCTGAGGCAGGAGAATCACGGGAGATGGAGGTTGCAGTGAGCCAAGATCACATCACTGCACTCTAGCTGGGGTGATGGAGCAAGACTCTGTCTCAAAAATAAAAATAAATAAATAAATAAATAAAGATATATATATGATGAAAAATAAATTTATAGTTTGTTAGTAAGCATGCCCTTATGCCTACAATGTAGTTAGAATAAAAAATTAAATTAAAATTATGATTATAAATATCATACCAGTTTATTTCCTTTTTTATGCTTTCAAATTTTACTAAGATTTAATAATACCACTGTCTTTTTTCTTATTTATAGTCCATTATCTATGCCTATAAAGTATTACAAAATACTCTCAAATATAGAAAACCAATACAAGTTACTGGCCGGGTGCAGTGGCTCACGCCTGTAATCCCAGCACTTTGGGAGGCCGAGGCGGGCGGACCATGAGGTCAGGAGATCGAGACCATCCTGGCCAACACAGTGAAACCCTGTCTCTACTAAAAAATACAAAAAAAAATTAGCCGGGCGGGATGGCAGGCGCCTGCAGTCCCAGCTACTCGGGAGGCTGAGGCAGGAGAATGGCGTGAACTCGGGAGGCGGAGCTTGCAGTGAGCTGAGTTCGCACCACTGCACTCCAGCCTGGATGACAGAAAAAGACTCCGTCTCAAAAAAAAAAAAAAAAAAAAAGGAAAGAAAACCAATACAAGTTAGAGATAGATGAAAAAGAGAAGAGAAAAATAAGAACACAGACATAAAACAGAATCAAAAAGCAAACTAATATAAAAATACTTGAGTCTCATAAATTTATTACTTTTTAGTTCATATTTGTGTTTTCAACTTTATATCACAAATTTCTCCAATGCAAAATCTGCAGCACTGGCTAAGGTGAGGAGGAGAAGAAGGAAGAAAGGAGGAAGAGAGAGGAAGAAGAGGGAGGAAGGATTTAGACGAGGGAGGGAGGGGGAGGAGGAATAGGAGGAGGAAGAAACTACTGTTAAGGAAAATCACAACTGTCCTCATACTAAGGCCAGAAAGAAAACTCCAAAAGGACTTCAACCAATATGAAGAGACCTTGAAAAACACAAAACAAATTACCCATAGCCGATTAACACAAATGTTCAATTTAATGTTAATATTTTTTCTTCTTACAATTAAAATAGCTAGAGTTTTTCTTTTATTAAAGAGTCAGTCTTTAGATTTTATCAATCCAATCTTCCTGCTTTGAGATTTTATTGTTTTATGCATATTTCATATATTGTTCTTTTATCTTATTTGGTAATGCATATATTTGAGGCTACTTTATTACTGTCAACTCACCTTGAGCCACAACCCATTTGCTCTTCATCATTATATTCTAAACAAGGATATAGAATTGATCTTCTTTTATCTCACTATTTAGAAAAAATAATTCTTAATTTCTAAGTGGTTATAGTTTTTTATTAATAACTTAAAAAGCTTTTAGTTTTATTGAGTTATGGTTAGAAAATCTGACTTTACAAGGTTTCTTCAGTGACCCAATATAACTAATTATTGTAAATGTTCTATCAGTTGTTGAAAAAGTATATTCTTTTCTTGTGCATACAGAAATAATATAAATTTTTTGAGACCAAGTTGCCAACACATGAAATTAATTTTTAAATGGTCCTTATTCATAATATATTCAGATTATTTCTAGTCTTCATTATTTCTATTTCACCCATTAAATTATATTTTCTCTTTCGGTACTTATTGGTCTCCATTCTTTACTCCCTGTTTCCATGCCTTTTTGGTGAGTGAAGCACAATTCCCTCCCTAGGCCTGGCCACATGCCTTGCTTTGCCAATAAGCAAACATGATGCAAACAGAGGCTTGAAAAACATTTGCACAATTTAGTTTGCTCTCTCTCTTGAACTTTTGTCAGAGCTATGAGCACATGACCAAGCTAGCCTGCTAGAAGATGACAGTAGAATTTGAGAGACATGTCACAGAGCTGAGTCATTTCTGTCTTCCCAGTAGAAGTCAGCCTATATTAGCTGATCTCAGCCAACCTCCAAACTTGTGAATGAGCCTAGTTCACTGGAGTAGTCTAGCTGATACCCTTTCCTCTACATTGGTTGTTTACTGTCCTGTACCACTGAAAAAAATAGATAACATATATCTGTCAACAAATAGAACAAATGTCTTCAAAACTATTGTGTGGGTTTGATTTTTTTTTTAAATATCTATGTATTTCTAATAATTTTGACTTCACACATTTTATTTATTTATTTATTTTGAGACAAGGCCTCACTTTGTCACCCAGGCTGGAATACAGTGGCATTATAATTGCTCACTGCAGCCTCAACCTCCTGGGCTCAAGCAATTCTCCCGTCTCAGCCTCCCAAGTAGCTGGGACTACAGGTATACACCAACATGGCCGGCTAATATTTTTTATTTTTATAGAAACAAGGTCGGCCAGGCACGGCGTCTCACGCCTGTAATCCCAGCACTTTGGGAGGCTGAGACGGACGGATCACAAGGTTAGGAGATCGAGACCATCTTGGCCAACACGGTGAAACCCTGTCTCTACTAAAAATACAAAAAATTAGCCAGGCATGGTGGCAGGCGCCTGTAGTCCCAGCTACTCGGGAGGCTGAGACAGGAGAATGGCATGAACCCAGGAGGCGGAGCTTACAGTGAGCCGAGACTGTGCCACTGCACTCCAGCCTGGGTGAGAGAGCAAGACTCAAAAACAAAAACAAAAACAAAAACAAAAAACCCAGAAACAAGGTCTCACCATGTTGCCCAGGCTGGTCTTGAACTCTTAGGCTCAAGCGACCCCCCAGCCTTGGCCTCCTAAAGGGCTGGGATTACAGGCATGAGCCGACATGCCTGGCCAACACATTTTAAATCTGTACATAAACACTAATGATTACTATATCCCTACTGTAGACAGTAATCGCTCATAAACTGAAAAAGAAAAAACTGCCTTCTGTGTCTCATTTAGGGAAAAATCTGTGCCTTGAATTCTACTTAATTAAAATGGTAATCTCTTTTTTTAACTTAATTTGCATTTGCCTGATGCATAATTTTCTAGCTACTTAAAAATAGTTACAAAAATAGTATATGCTCATGGTTAAAAATTTTTAATACAGAACCATATTAAACAGTTTCTGTACTGTAAACATTTTCCACTGCTCCATGTTTCCAGCAATCATTTATTTTTAAGTTTTCATAATCATTTTGTGCTACTTCCCAGTTATAGTAACAGTATTCAAAACAGTGTCCAGAACATGGTGATGAATGCTCAAAAAATACTGGTTGGATAAATAGATAGGGGGTAGATGGCTTATTGATTTATGCTTATAATACCAATTTATTGATAAACAGCAGGCTGAAGAAATGAAAAGAAAGCTGTGGAAATACCAACAGAAGTGGTGTAGCAGCTGAAGAAGTAGAAAGAGGGGGAAGTAACATACCTGCAAGGTTGTGTCACTGTAGCAAATCTATTACCCCATTTCCTAGCTATATCTGGTCTATCACTTTATGAAAGTGCAGTCTTCTCTAGACTCTCTTTTACTACTGTCCATAATAAAAAGACCAATACCATTTGAGACATTTATCACTGGCTTTTTTTCCTGTGAGTTTCTCAGAGCAGATGCCCATGAATACTACTGATATGTAACAGTGAAGGGGACTTCAAGTAGATTGCTATCTGTCTATTCAAGGTCCATTCAATTGAGGTCTACCCTCAATTCTTGCCCTCTCAAGTTATGAGATATCAGTAAGCCAGGATTTCCTCTTCTTACTCAGAATAACATCTCAGAAAATGGAATTTTGAAGGAATTACTAGCATTTTCCCTTAATCCACTCCAAAACATGTACTACTCCAGTTTGTTACGCTAATACAAATTTTCTCCCCATTCTTATATGGTTCTAGTCACCTAGTCACTTACAACAAAGACTTTCAAAATTTTCTGATCTTGATTCATGACACAGAATCCATTTTACATCAAAATCTAGTATATACATATACACATGTGTACACTCATACAAAAGGGGGAGGGGGGGAACGACTCCCTAAAGCAATATTTAACCTTACTACATGCAGTGCACTATTTTTTCTATTCTACTCGTGTTTTCTTTTCTTTTTTAACCTGGGTGTCATCTACTAAGCTAATTTTCATTATCATTAAGAATCATGACTGGCATTGGAAAAATACAGATTTGACTCATGGTTAAAAGTGAAGGGAACAGGTTTGCAAAGAGTAAAATATCTTTGATAGAGAATGTCTTGGATCCATACATTCACCTCTAAAAATAACACTGACCTCATTTTAGCACAAAATGCACTCCTAGGGCCTGAAAGTTCTATTTCACATATTATGAATATGGTAGTTTAGGCCAGAAATACTTGTGTGGGGAAGACATGTAGGCCACATACTCATTCTCATAAAGAAAATTCATAAACAACCAATGTTTAAGAAAAGTTACACTATTAACAATTTGGAAATAGGATACAGGCTGGACATGGTGGCTCACACCTGTAATCCCAGCTGGGAAGCCGAGGAGGGTGGATCATGAGGTCAGGAGTTCGAGACCAGCCTGGCCAACATTTAGTATCCTGTCTCTACTAAAAAATACAAAAATTGGCCAGGCATGGTGGGTGCCTGCAATCCCAGCTACTCAGGAGGCTGAGGCAGGGAGAACTGCTTGAACCTGGGAGGCGGAGGTTGCAGTGAGCCGAGATCTGTCTCTGCACTCCAGCCTGGGCAACAGAGCGAGACTCTGTCTCAAGAAAAAAAAACAAAAAAAAACAGGATACAGGTATGAAAGATGGATTTTGATGCATTATTAGTCATGGTCAACATTTCAACATTTAAATAAATATAATGCTAAAATAATAGGAACAATATAAATCGTTTCTCATTCTTATAGTTGCTTTTATTATTTTTATTCTTAAAGTTTTTAAGTTTCTTGGAATCACCCTCCCATACATGTATAGTACAATCACTACCTTTCTGAAATTAAAAAAATTTATGCACAAACATCTCCCCAAAATTCCTACATGACAGAACAATACCTGCTTAAAAAAATTTGTCACTGTGAGAGTAGCTGGTCGAAAGCTCGTCAAGTTACAAGCATCATCTCCACTTGTTGTCCTTTCAAGTGATCGTCTGCCAACAATACTAGAATTCCTCCTCTCTGACCAAGACCCTTTTCGTTCTACAAAAGAATTAAAAAAAAAATTCATTTTCATAGAAGTTAAATTTTGTTTTAAAGTAGCTTTCCAAACACAAGGAAGAATCTACTAAATTGAAAATTACCCACTCAGCATATCAAGTATAGTAGGAGAATTTTGCTTTTGGAGAGATTAGTAAGAAAGTACCTAAATCTTCTGGTTGTCTTTTTACAACATCACAGGTGTAAAAATAAGTTTCTAACATGCAAAGATCTATGGGCATGACCAATGATGAGCCACAAAGAGCAGCTATAGAGGAAGTATGCATTTACTACAAAATGTTTACCACAGGAAAATTTTAGTCATCGTTAATCTTCCCTCAGTCTTAGCTCTTTAGTTTGAAAGAGAATTGTAAGATAATTTGTATTCAAAGTACTTGCAAGATAATCCTATTATTTAAAACCAACAGAACTAGACTGAAGATTAACAAGGAAATAGAATACTTGCACAAAACTATAAACAAACTAGACCTAATGGACATTTACACTACACTAAAGTACACTAAGCAAGAGCAGAATATACATTCTTGTCAAGCACTTAGAAAATATTCTCTAAAACAGTCTATATACTAAGCCATAAAACAACATACAATACATTCAAAGAGATTAAAATCATATAAAAATGTTCTCCAACAACAGAAGAATTAAACTATAAATCAATAACAGAAGAAAATTTGGGGAATTCACAAATGTATGTAAGTATAATAGCCCATTTAAAAAATAGCTAATGGAAAAAGAAGGAATAATAGAAATTAGGAAGTATTTAAGATGTATGAAAATGCAAGAACAACATACCAAAGCATTGCTAAAGCAGTGCTCGGGGGAGGATTTACAGCTATTAATGTCTATTTTAAAAAGAACTATCTCAAATCAGTAATATAACCTCAGACTTCAACAAACTACAAACTACAAAAGAAGAGAAAAAAAATCCGAAACCAGCAGAAGGCTACAAGAGGCAACTGCAGAGTGGAAATAAGGAAAATAGAAACTATAAAAACCATACAGAAAAATCAATTAAACCAAAAACTGTTTGTTCAAAAAGATAAACCCGACAAATCTTTAGCTAAAATGATGAACCAAAAAAAAAAAGACTCAAATTACTAAAATCAGGAATGAAAGAAGAGATATCATTTACAGACTTTACAGAGTAAAAGGAATAAAGGAATATACAGCAATACTATGAACAACTGTAGGCCAACACTTAGATTAGATACCAACTAGATAACTTTGATGAAATGGACAAATTTCTAGAAAGATTCAAAGTATTTATATTAAAACTGACTCAAGATGAAAGAAAATGTGAATAGACCTAAAACAAGTAAAGAGATCGAGTTAGTAATGAAAAAACTTACCACAAAGAAAAGACCAGGCCATGACAGGTTCACTGGTGAATTCTTCCAAACTTTCAAAGAATACCAATCCTTCAAAAACCCTTCCAAAAAAATGGAAGGAACACTTCACAACTCATTCTATGAGGCCAGTATTACCCTGATACCAAAACCAGACAGAGTCATCAAAAGAAAGAAAAACTACAGACTAATATACCTTATGAATATAGATGCAAAAATCCTGAACAAAATACTAGCAAACAGACTCCAACAACACATAAAAAAGATTACATGCCATGACCAAGCAAGACTTTTCCCAGGAATTTAAGGTTAATTTAACATCCAAAAACCACATCATTCGATGCAACACCACATTAAAAGGATACAGGACAAATAATTCTAATAGAGGCAGAAAAAGTATTTTACAAAATCTAACAGACTTTCATGATAAAAACACTTTTAAAAATTAGGGATAGAAGAGAACTTCCTCAATCTACCAAAATACATCTATGAAAAGCCAACAGCAAATATCATACTTGATGGTGAAAGACTGATTGCATTTTCCCTAAAGTCAAGAATAAGACAAGGATATCCACTCTTGTCATTTCTAAAACATTGCAGAAGAGGTTCTAATAAAGACAGAAAAGAGAAAGAAATAAAAGGCACCCAGACTGAAAAAGAAAAGTGAACTACTTTTTATTTGCAGATGACACGGTTTTGTATACAGAAAATCCTAAAAAATCTGGGGAAAAAAACGAACAATAACAATTCGAATTTAGTAAACAAATTCAAAAAGGGTTCAGAGTATAAGATCAATATACAAAAGCCAATTTTATTTCTATACACTAGAAATGGACTTTCTAAAGACAGAATTAAGAAAACAATTCCATTTAAAATATTATCAAGAAACGATAAAATACTACGGTATAAATTTAACAAGAGAAGGACTTGTACACTGAAAATGACACAACACTGAAAAAAATGAAAAAGATTTAAATAAATGAAAAAAATTTCATGTTCATAGATTCAAAGATTTAAAATTGTTAAAATGGCAACAATCTATAAATTGACTTAGAGATTCAATGTCAGCCCTATCAAAATCCCAGATGCCTTTGTGCACAAACTGACAGCTGGTCCTAAATTTATATGGAAATAAAAGAAACCCAAAATTGCCAAAACAAATCTTGAAACAGGATAAAAGCTGGAAGACCCACTCTTCTCAATTTCAAAACTTAGCCTTCAAAGGTAAAGTAATTTGGTATAGCAGCGGTCCCCAACCTTTCTGGCACCAAGGACTGGTTTCATGGAAAAAAATTTTTCCACAGATGGGGTTGTGGGGATCGTTTCAGGATGATTAAAGCGCATTACATTTATCATTAGAGTCCCATAAGGTGCACGTAACCTAGATCCCCTGCATGTGCAGCTCACAATAGGGTTCATGCTCCTACCAGAATCTAATGCCACTACTGATCTGAGAGGAGGCAGAGCTCAGGCGATAATGCTAGCTCAGCTGCTGCTCACCTACTGCTCTACGGCCCGGATCCTAACAGGCAGGACAGGTACCTGTCCGCCACCTGGGGATTAGGAACCCCTGCAGTAAAGCACTGGCATACAGATCAGTGGAATGGGATGGAGAGTCCAGAAATAAATCCCACATGAATGGTCAATTGACTTTCAATAAGGGATCTAAGAAAATTCAATGGGAAAAGAATAGCCTTTTTAATAAATGGTGCTGAAACAACTGGATATCCACATAAAAAGAATGAAATTGGACTACCTCACAACATACAAATATTAACTCAAAATGGATTATTATAAACCTAAATGTAACAGCTGAAACTATAAAACTCTTACAAGAATACATACAAGTAAATTTTGATTCATATTACATAATGGTTTCTTAGATAAAACACCAAAAGCACAGTGACAAAAGAAAAAAATAGAAAAATGTAACTTCCTCAAAATTTAAAACTTCTGTGCTACGAACAATACCATCAAGAAAAGTGAACTCACAGACTAGGAGAAAATTTGCTATCATATATTAGGCAAGGAATTTGCATCTTGAACATATAAAGAACTCCTACAACTCAATGCCAAGAAGGTTAAAACCCCATTTAAAAAATAGGCATCAACTATTAATAAATAATAAAAAGACCAAAGCCATTAAAAAATGAGCAAAGGTTAAAAATACCTATTACTCCAAGAAAGATACACAAATAGCCAATACACACAAAATGATGCTTAATATCGCTAGCTTTTAAGAAAAGGTAAATCCAACCTACAATGAGTACCACTTCACTTGCACTAGAATGACTACAATCAAAGAGCAGATAATATGTTACACTGGTAAAGATATGCTGAAACTGGAACCTTCACACACTAGTGGAATGCTAGTGGAATTTTTGAAGGTGCAGCCAAATTGGAAAACAGTGTGGCAGTCCTTCAAAAGATTAAGCACAGAATTATCATATGACCCAGCAATTTCACTCCTAGCTATATATCTACATATCTAAGGAAAAAAAATGTCCACACGAAAGCTTGTAAATGACGTTTCAACACTATGAAACATTATGCATAATAAACTAAAAGTAGAAAACCCAAATCAACTGATAAATAAATATAGTATATCAATACAACAGACTATCATTTGGCAATAAAAATAAATAATACCAATACATGCTACGACATGGATGAACCTGAAAAACATTATGGCAAGTGAAAGAAGCTAGCCACAAAAGACTACATATTATACAAGTCAATATGTATGAAATGTCTGGCATAGACAAATCTATAGAGACAGAATATATATTAAAGGTTGTTTAGGGACAGGTTGCAAGACTCTGGGGGAATGAGGAGTGACCACTGCTAATGGGTACAAAAGTGTTCCAAGATGGATACAGAAGTATTCTGTAGCAGTGGTTGCAGAACCCTGTGAATATACCAAGAAAACACTGCACAGTAAGTCCTCATTTAACATCATGGATCAGTTCTTCAAAACTGTGACTTTAAGCAACACGTTGTATAACAAATCAATTTTACCACATGCTAATCAATATAAGCAAGAGTTAAGTCCCTACAGCATATTTCTGGTCACAAAAACTTAACCAAACTTCTAAATATTCAAAACACTTCTAATATTAAACATTCAAATAAATGTGCACTGTACATACATTTAAGAAAGATTAATAAAAATAAGTAGGATAATTATTTACCCAATTATCCCAGTTCAGGGTCACAAATGGCCGAAGCCTGTTCCAGCAGCGCATGAAAGAAGGCAGTGTATGGCAAATGCACCCGACAGCAGTAACTTAAGCAAGCCCTGAGAATGACCCTATGGTCTAAAAAGAATGTGTATTCGGAGTTCCGAGCTAAGGAACCTGGGAGTGGCCAAACTTGAAGACTCATTCCTTATCTATGAGAATAAGGACATCTGAACTTCTAGCCCATCCAGTGAAATCTAGGCCATACATGGAATCAAGGCCCTTTGTTTTGGGTTAAATGAGGGTTTCCAGGTAGAAGTTACTAGGGGGAGGATGCTAAGTGAAAATGCTACATAAACTGCATGCTTTTTCAAGTGGCTGTGGTTTTCGGTCCAGCTCGCCACTCTGCATGTAAGTTCCCTCAGTAAACCCTATGTCTCATTCTCTGGCTCCCCATCTCTTCTTCAGCCTGTGATATGATGTTATACTTACCAAAGTCAATAGGGGTCCCGCACGACAGGCAGGCACCTGTCCTGGACAGGACGCTATTCCATCACAGGTGCACTCACACACACACACCCATGTTACCTTACGCTGCTACCACTTAAGACATGCCAATTAACCTCATGCACACAGCTTTGGGATTTGGGAGGAAATGAGTACCCAAAACTCCCCACACAGACTTGGGGAGAACATGCAAACTCTACACAGACAGTAGCTCCAGCCAGGAATCAATTTGTTTCCTCATCAACATTATAAAAAATCAAAAACAAAATGAGATATTTGAAGATCTCCTGTATTGTACAATTTAAATTGGTGACTTATATGGTATGTGAATTATATCTTAATAATGGTGTTAAATGAGAAAAAGGCAAAAAAAAAGAAAAAAGAAAATCCTTTTTATGCAATATTACATTGCAGAGTCTACAAATGAAACAAGCTTATATAAGAAAAAAGAGGCCGGGCATGGTGGCTCACATCTATAATCCCAGCATTTTGGGAGGCCGAGGCAGGCAGATCACTTGAGGTCAGGAGTTCGAGACCAGTTTGGCCAAAATGGTGAAACCCCATCTCTACTAAAAATACAAAAATTAGCCAGGCGTGGTGGCGCACATCTGTAATCTCAGCTACTCAGGAGGCTGAGGCAGGAGAATTGCTTGAACCCCGGTGGCAAAGGTTGCAGTGAGCCAAGATCGTGCCACTGCCCTCCAGCCTAGGCCATAGAGCGAAACTCCATCTCAAAAAAAAAAGAAAAAAGTAAACATTTAGAAATGTTTTGTATGAAACACTCTTACCTCCAGTACTGATTTCTACTTCTGTAGAATCTCTTTCCAAACTCCCAGCACTGCTAACAATATTCATTAAATGGATTGCAGTCCAAGCAAAAGGCATGCGATATTTCCCAAGTCTTTGGCAAAACTGATCTGCTTGACTCTTCAGTTTCTCCAGTTTTTCTTTATTCTGCAAAACAGAACTTTATACATTATATGATTATACTTGAAAGAAATCAGTTAAAGGCTATTTCATACTACATAAAGGAAAAGGATGAGAAGTCTCAATTCTCAGCAGAGATGAGAAAAAAATCTGTACCTTACAGAGATGAAGTATTAGTGCAATATCTTAACCAGTGAACAAACTCAACACATTCTACAAATGTACGTACAGAGCAGGTCTTTGAAATTTCTATTTGTGATTATGTTATTCTGGGGAGAAGAGAGTAAGTACCAAACATGTATTATGTATTCCAAGTATTGTTTTAGGAAGTATAACCATGGTCTAGTCAGCAACTGGTAACTACAAAATATTCTAGTTATAATTTGTTAAATTTTGTTACTCTATAAAAGATGGAAGTAGCTGAGCACATTTGAAATAGTCCCTAACATATAACAACCATGAGTTAAGAGTGGGGAAGCACGAATAGGCCAATGATAAACAAGCTCAGAGTTGTAACAAAAGAAGGAAAGTAAAAAGTAAAAAGGAAAGTAGAAGAAGACTAAACGCTGGAAAAAGACTAACGGTCCAAATATTTAATAGTACAAGCATATCTGGAAGACATCTTGAGGCTGGCTCAACTTTTAGGCTACTCCTGAAACAAACATCAAGAGGTGGCCTGCAAAAGCCAATCAACACTCAAGACTGAAACCTATACTACCTCTCTCATATACTCTTTGCAGATGGGATGTTGAAGTATACACTAATGACAGTGTCCTACCTTGGGACTCAGGGCTAGAAAAAGATGAAACGATAACTAAATGATAGCACTATTACTATCTCTACTATACCCTTAAAACAGTTCTTATTTTAAGTATATTTCAAGTATACTTAATTCTATCAGTGTATGTAAATATAAGTAAAAAGCAGAATAAGCTGCTAGTATATTTAAGAGCACTATGTAACAGAGCAAATTTAATGTAAAATGACAACCTGGGGACAGCCAGAATACTATACTTAAACCATTAGTTCAGCCAGGTAATCAAGGATCAAGAAAAAAATATCATGTGCTCAGATCTACAGAAAAAGCTCAGTTCTTGTTATGAATCTTGGGAAAATAGCAAAACATTTTCTGGGTTTGGGTTGCTTACCCAGTATTCCTCAAGCATACTTCTCCCAGAAGTTCCAGTATTAAATCTTGTGTTCAAAGATCCAAAGATCACTTGTATTCTTGTAGCTAACCCATAGTATCTGAAATTTGTTATCAATTATCCAACTTTTTTTTTGCTTTTATAAGTTTATACACATTCTAGCAATTAGGCTGGGTATGGTGGCTCACATCTGTAATCCCAGCACTTTGGGAGGCTGAGGGAGGTGGATCACTTGAGTTCAGGAGTTCAAGACCAGCCTGACCAACATGGTAAAACCCCATCTCTACTAAAAATACAAAAATTAGCTGGGTGTGGTGGCACATGCCTGTAATTTGAGCTGCTTGGGAGGCTGAGGCAGGAGAATCACTTGAACCCAGGAAGCGGAGGTTGCAGTGGGCCAAGATCCTGCCACTGGACTCCAGCTTGGGTGACAGAGCAAGACTATGTCTCAAAAGAAAAAAAAAATCTAGAAATTAGCCATCTGATGGCAAAAAAAGGCTGTATTTTCTTTTTTTAAAGACTATTATATTTTTACTATATTCCTTAATAATCTGCAGTCAGATGGAAGACAAGAATACTTCTATTTTGCTAGGAAAAGTTCTGTCAATATCACTATTTTATAAATAAAGAAAACCTTTAATAATTCAGGAGTTAAACTGAATTAATTTAGTTCTCTCCATGAAGAAAAAAATGTAAAGAGTCAGTTAGTTTTGAGATAGAAGAGATTTTTAAAGAATACCACAGCATATGAAACATATGACACAGGCTAGGTGACAAATTAAATAAAGAAGAAAGGAAGATAGGAAGTGGGCAAACAGAAAAAAATATAGTACTAGTAAAATTCCTTAATATGCTTTGTTGCATATTAAAGCTATTAATTGCTATTGCATATAAAATGCTATTGGGAGAATAGTATTCTCCCAAGTTACAATAGTAATAATGTGGCGGAAATGAGAAGCATAACATTCTACCTTGGTGGCATCTGCTTCTTTGAAAATCATATATGGTTCTGCACACTCTCCAATGTCTCCTTGCTGTAGGACTTTTTCTAGCTGTCAAAGGCAAAAAAAGTTAAGATTAAGCTTTTAAAAGCCTGAAATTCAAGGATGGTTCAATATACGAAAATCAATATAACACATTAACAGAATGACAGAAAAAAATATATGACATCTCAATTGCTGTAGAACAAACATTAGACAAAATTCAGTACTCTTTCATGGCAGAAACGCTCAACAAAGTAGTAATGCAAAGAAACTACCATAATAAAGGCCATATATGAAAAGCCCACAGTTAACATCATACTCAATGGTTAAAGACTGAAAGCTTTTCCTCTAACATCATGAACAAGACAAGAATGCCCACATTAGCCTCACCTATTAGGCATAGTAATGGAAGCCCAAGCCTGAGAACTAAACAAGAAAAATACGTAAAGCATCTGAATTGGAAAGGAAGAAGTAAAATTATCTCGCAAATGCTATGATCTTTTATGTAGAAAACTTTAAAGATGCCACACAAAAAACTGTTAGAACTAATAAATGAATTCAACAAAGTTACAGGATACAAAATCTATATACTAGCAATGAGGAATCGAAAAAGGAAATTTAAAAAAAAATTTCATTTATAATACCATCAAAAAGAGTAAGATACTTACAAATAAACTTAACCAAGAAAGTAAAGGATCTATATACACTGAAGACTATAAAACATTGCTGAGAGAAGTTAAATTAGGCACAAATAAATGAAAAGAAATCCTGTGTTCATGGACTGAAAAGATTTGATATCATTAAGATGTCAAAACTACCCAAAGCAATCTATAAGCTTAATGCAATCCTTATCAAAATCTCAATGTTTTTTTTTTTTTTTTTTGCAGAAATAGAAAAACCCATCCTAGAATTCATAGGGAAATTCAAGAGACCCTGAATAATCAAAACAAATTTAGGGAAAAAAGAAGAAAGTTGAAAGTCTCATACTTCCTGATATGAAAATGTATTTATAAACTACAATAATCAAAACAGATCTAAGATATATATATAATTCCTATTAGTTCTGTTTCACTGGAGAATTCTAATAAAGAGTTCAAGAAAAATTAGGTAGCACCTACTGTGTATGTCCAATATTGTGTTAAAGAATATCAAGATGAAAAAAATATGTAAAGGTCAAATCTTTGCCCTTGAAAAGTTTATAATACTGACAGACAAGTATACAGACACTACAAAATAAACAAATATATTTAACATTATTCTCACCTTTATTACAAGAAAAACATCTTGGGAAGGATAAGTGATAGAAAAAATTGCTGATCTTGCCAGGGTAGTAATGGCAGCAGGTGGTACATGTGGACGTAACAACCCTTTCATCTGCTCAGAATTAAGGTCAAAATAAAAGTTTTCTGAAATCTAAAAAATATTAGTATGTTAAACTTTAAAATATGTACATTTTACAGTGTCTATTTCTTAAAAGAAAGCTGCTTCTGCTACTTACTTTTAGAACTCTTTCAATGAAACAATAATCTGTTTTCAATTACAGTAATTATAATAAGAAAACATTTAATCTTAATAAATTAAATTTCTATTTTCTTTTTAAAAACATTCATGTTAAATAATTCTCAAAAAAATTACTTATTTATCTACAGATAGTAGGATATTATACTCTCATGTAAAGTTTATATTTCACTGAGACCAATCTTTACATACCTAAATCAAAGTAAAAAAAGTAAACAAGCTATTTGGAAAACATAATAAGCATATTCTAAACAACCATATTCCAAATTCTTTTAATTAGAGGTGAGGGGATCAAGGTCAGGAGATTGAGATCATCCTGGCCAAAATGGGGAAACCCCATCTCTACTAAAATACAAAAAATTAGCCGGGCATGGTGGCAGGCGCCTATAGTCCCAGCTACTCGGGAGGCTGAGCCAGGGGAATCGCTTGAACCTGGGAGGTAGAGGCTGCAGTGAGCCGAGATCGCGCCACTACACTCCAGCCTGGCAAAAGAGCAAGACTCAATCTCAAAAAAAAAAAAAAGTAACCTCTAATAAAGTATACAAAGAAATTATCATTGAGATGATGGATTCCAAAGTGACTTTTAAAAAAATTTATGAATAATATCCCAGCAGTTTCGAGTTAGCAAATAAAAGTTGCTAGAGCAGAATTCCATTAAAGAAATCCATAATATGTCTTGTGTTGGCAGCAGAAGCCACTGAAGGCACTTCAAGTTTCCTTTTTTCTTTTTTTAATTTTAAATTGTTTTTAGTAGCAATGGCGGGGCCGGGCGGGGGGTGGTCTCACTATGTTGCCCAGGCCGGTCTTGAACTCCTGGCCTCAAGCAATTCTCCCACTTTGGCCTGCCAAAGTGCTGCAATTACAGATGTGAGCCACAAGCACCCGGCCAGCACTTCAAGTTTCTACTACATATTAGTCTTAGAATATTAAATTAAGAAATGTTGTAAAATAACCTTCTGACACGCCTGTAATCCCAGCACTTTGGGAGGCCAAGATGGGCGGATCACGAGGTCAGAAGATCGAGATCATCCTGGCTAACACGGTGAAATCCCATCTCTACTAAAAATACAAAAAGTTAGCTGGGCGTAGTGGCGGGCGCCTGTAGTCCCAGCTACTCGGGAGGCTGAGACAGGAAAATGGCGTGAACCTGGGAGGCGGAGCTTGCGCTGGTGAGAATTTGAAAATCATGTCAATAAAAATTCACTGTCATTGTCATTCCTATTGTTATGTACTGCTTGCCAAAAGTGATTTTCTTATATTGTCTTTTCTATTTCTTAAAGTTGCTTCTGCTATTTGCTTTTAACACTCTTTCAGTGAAACAATAACCTGTTTTCAATTACAGTAATTTATAAGAAAATATTTAACTAGTCCTAATAAGTTAAATTTCTATTTCCTTTTTAAAAAGATCTATGTTTAACAGTTCTCAAAAAAAATCAATCTTATAAAACAAACAGGTTTCTGAAACCAATGATTATGACAAATAACTATGGTCAAATTATATAATCTTACCTTTTTCTTTTCCTTGACATCATATAAAGCCAAACTTGCAAAAATGGGTTCAATTTCAATTTCAAACCTTTATGAAGAAAAAGGATAAAATAATTTAAAGATAAACATGAAATACACAGTTGGAGAGAAATTGATTCCAAAACTAAATTATCACAATACTTGGCAGTTTTCTACACCTGTGCCTTTGCCTATATTAAAACTTCTTCTTGAAATACACTCTTCTATGCATATCGTTCAGAGTCTAAATCAACCTTATCTTCTCTAGTTAATCCTAATTAATTTATCCAGCTACAAATAAACTCAAACTACCTAAAAGCCTAATGACATATTATGTCCATTCTGAGGCACTAATCACTTTCTAACATGGTCACTTATATATGTAGATATGTTCATTTTTAAATAAGTTTTAAAAATAAAAGCCTAATGTTTTCTTTTTCAGATTATAAATAATATATTCAATGCAAAAATCTTAGAAAACACATGAATATTCAGAGGAAAACAGGAGCATCCAAAGAATCATAATTAACAGTTTAATGCCTAATCCATCTAGACTTTATGCATAAATGCACTTGCCAAACAAATTTTTTTAAACAGTGTCACAGTATACATAATTTGTAGTCTGCTTTTTTAACTTAACATTTTGTGGACAAATTTTCACGTTATAAATATTATTCTTACCATCTTTTTTAATGCTGGCATAGTAATTCCCATTATATGAATACGGCAAAATTGTATACTTAATTGAGATGTCTAACTCATTTCTAAGAACAATGACTTACATACAGTAAACATCTAGTAAATATTTGTTGAATGAAATAATATATAATGTGAGGTTAACTAAAACTCTAGAGTAGAGGTTCTCAATGAAGGACAATTTTGCCCCCAAGGGAACATTTGGCAATACCTACATACATTTTTGGTTATCGAAACTACAGGAGTATTACTGTCACTTAGCAGTTAGAAGTCAGAGATATGACTGAACATCCTACGCTGTACAGGACAGTCCCTGACAACAAAGAACCATCTAGACAAAAAAGTCAATAGTGCTGACATTGTAATAACCCTGCTCCACATTGCATGGTATTAAAAGAGAATCGAGGACCTTGTAGAAAATACACAACATATTTACATTAGGGTGAGACTTTAATAAAGGGACATTTACAAGGATTTGGACAGGATCTTGAGGAAACAACTACAGAGTGCCATTCCCTGGGGCTAGCAAAAGCAAGTCATTACCAACCATAGACCTAAAAGAGAACATGGAAGTAATAACCAAAAATTAGAAAAGATAGCTATACCGAAGGTCCTTCACAGGAACTGGCCTTGGAAAGAAAGAGGCAACAGATCTAAGTGACTCAGCAGGGAACTCTCTTCTACCCTCTAACTTCCTGCTGATACATCCCTTAGTAAAACCCAACTACAAGTCAAATGAAAAGAGATCTTGGTGATCCTGTCCACGTGTCAACCTCTACAAAACCTACTCTGCATCATTTTGATACTGTCGGTCCATTTATTTTGGCCAATCCAGTAAATAAGCAGTATCCCACTGGATTTTTAATGGGAATCTTTTCATCTATTCACTGACCATTGGGATATTTTCGGTTGGCCCATTTTTCTATTTATTGTTTGACTCTTTCCTCATGAATTTGTTGTTCTTTATGCATTCTAGAAATGAGCACACTGCCAAGTATATGTGTTGGAAATACCTTCTCCTTCTCTATGATTTATCTTCTCTTGCGCCTTTCGATGAACGAAAGTTGTCCATTTTAATGAAGTAAAATGTGTCAATGTTTTCTTCTAGGGGTAGTGCTTTCTGTGTCATGTCAAAGAAATATTTTTCTTTCTATAAGATCATAAAGATATCCCTACATTATCTTCTGGAAACTTTACCATTTTGTCCTTCACATTTATGTCTACTCTCTATCTGTAAAAAAAATTTTGTGTATCATGGGAGGCAGTGGTCAAGTTTCCTATTTTCATATCTATATATATGAATATATATTTTCATGAATATATATATTTTTTCATGAATATATATTTTCATGAATATATATTTTCATGAATATATATTTTTTCATGAATATATATTTTCATGAATATATATATTTTTTCATGAATATATATTTTCATGAATATATATATATAGATATGAAAATAGGAAACTTGACCACTGCCTCCCATGATACAAATTATATATATATATGAGAAACACATACATAGACAAGACAGATAGACACAAAGAGAGGAAAGCAGGGGGGAGAAACAGATATCCAACTGTCCTGCCAATTTATTGAAAGGATTACCCTTTCCATACTATAAAAAACGTCCACTGTTATTACAAATCAAAAATGCATAAACATGTAGGTCCTTTTTTAGCTCTTTTTTTTTAGTTGAAGTAATAAATGTTTAATGAAATAATTTTACATAATATTAACAGCATTCATTTGGCAAAATATTTACATGTTTGTAGAGTACTACTGTATATAAAGTGGGAATATATCAAGTACAGACTTTTCTAGCTCTTTCCTCTACTCCAGTGCTCTAGTTGTCTAATCATGTACCAATACTATACCATCTTAATTACATAGTTTCATACTAGTCTTGATATCTGGTTGGGTTTTTTTAAATAAAGTTCTTCAAAACTGTCCTGCCTCTTTTGGCCCTTTGTATTTTCATATAAATTATAGATTCAGCTAAAAATAAACAAAAGCAAATCAAAGTGAAATGCTAATTTACTTATTCAGAAAATTAGAGGCCAAGGTGGGAGGATCGCTTGAGGCCAGGAGTTCAAGACCAGCCTAGGAAACACAGCAAGATCCAATTTCTAATTTTTTAAAAGAAAGAAAATTAGTATCCCAATGTGTAACTTAGTGCAAACTTTGTAATACTCTTTTTTTTTTTTTTTTTTTTTTTTTTGAGATGGAGTCTCGCTCTGTCGCCCAGGCTGGAGTGCAGTGGCTCGATCTCGGCTCACTGCAAGCTCCACCTCCTGGGTTCACGCCATTCTCCTGCCTCAGCCTCCCGAGTAGCTGGGATTACAGGCGCATGCCACCACACCCAGCCAATTTTTTGTATTTTTAGTAGAGGGTTCACTGTGTTAGCCAGGATGGTCTTGATCTCCTGACCTGGTGATCCACCTGCCTCGGCCTCCCAAAGTGCTGGGATTACAGGCGTGAGCCACCGGGCCCGGCCAATAACTTTATAATATTTTTAAACCGCATTTAAAGATCCATATTATTACTATCATGAACAAAGGATGGAACTCTGGAGAAAATAAACTGAAGAAACCAACACAAATCCAGTGAGCTCTACTTTAAGTAGACAAGAATTTAAACTGCCAAAAATGTATATGTAGAGTTTTTTCTTTTTTTTTTTTAAGTATATTCCTCATGGATTCAGTACACAATTTGAGCAACTGCAAAAAAAATGAATGCCACATTATTTTTATACTATCAAACATAGGCATGTTTCAAGAAATGCTACTTGCTGAGCAATACTCAATGGCTATTATGCTGCAAAACAGGTATTTTTTATTCACTATAAATGTACCACTCTACATACTCACTTATTTAAAATGTTGAGAATACTTACAACGATGAAAGAAAAAAACATTTTTTAATCACCAAAGGCCTACCATAAGACATTACTAATAAGATGTGGCTTATTTGTTAGGTCTTTTGAAAATTAAGTGTGTGGGCTGGGCACGGTGGCTCACTCCTGTAATCCCAGCACTTTGGGAGGCCGAGGCAGGTGGATCACGAGATCAAGAGACCGAGACCATCCTGGCCAACATGGCCAACATGGGGAAACCCCGTCTCTACTAAAAATACAAAAAATTAGCCAGGCATGGTGGCAGGCGCCTGTAGTCCCAGCTACTAGGGAGGCTGAGGCAGGAGAATCACTTGAACCCGGGAGGCGGAGGTTGCAGTGAGCCGAGATTCTGCCATTGCACTCCAGCCTGGCAACAAAGCAAGACCCCGTCTCAAAAAAAAGAAAGAAAAAATTAAGTGTGTGTGTGTGTATTTGTTCCCTTTCAAAGTGATTTATTTGATTCTGATCACAAAATACAGGGAAGGAGCAAGGGCAACGCCTATAACCTCTTGGTTGCACATGTTCCCAGTCTATGTGTCTATAAATACCCTTTGTACAACAGCAAACTCATGCTGTCCCCCATGCGTTGTTTCACATTCTAGCAGCTACAGAGTATAGCATATGACCAGGTGGGAAGTTAAAACAGATGCCCTATTCACAAGGTAGAGTTCCCCTCCAAATAGTGTTCCAGCTCCCTTGTGCTACTACTACTGAAACCAAAGTAGCTGGTTGTTCCTACTACTGATCTTCTAAAATTCTTTCATGAACAAGTAGGTCATAGACAAATTATGTCTGCACAATTCTTAGAGTGGCTTAAAGTAACCTTATAGAAAGGCAGTGACTAAGGTCTGTTCCTTGCCCCCAGCTTCCTACATCCCAGGCTGCCTGTGGCACCTGGACTGCCCCTCCTGGATCCCCCACATCCCAGGGCAGCAGTGAAAGAAGGGCAGGCCAGGCCAAGCATGAGGCGTAAACAGTCTTTATTGGACTCAGACCAGGAGTCCATGGCTCTTGAGGACCTCTATGTATTTGTCAGTTTTCTTCTCCATGTTCTTTTGGCCTGTTTCTATAGACTCATGAGCTGTCTTTTCTTCCAGTAGTGGATCTTAGCTTTCTTCTTTCTCTTCTTCTCCATGGTGGCTGTCACTGCCTGGTACTTCCAGCCAACACCATGAGCCAGGAGCCCCAGGTAGGCAAACTTTCTCACAGGCTTCAGGCACACAACCTTGAGGGCAGCAGGAACCACAGTCCACTTTTTGTCATAGGGGAGTGGGATCCCATCAAACATCTTGAGGTGGTCCAAAGCAGCCTGGCCTCACTTGGTCTTGTGGGGCAGCATGCTTCACATGGTCCACCAAAAGAGGTGGCTGGGGGCTTGGAAATGGTAGGGTCCTCAGAAAGGATTGGTGTTCATCTACTTGCAGAGGAAGGCCAGGTACTTTAACTTGTTTCTGTAGAAATTGCCAGAAATGTGGATGCCCTCGCAACACATGATCACCACCTTCCAGCCCAGCAGTACCTGCTTGGCCACAATGGCCGCTGGGCAACCCGGAGATGGCCTCAGCCTCATGCACCAGGGCCTTCCCCCTCCCAACTTTGGCAGCCACCTGGGAAAGGCTAAATTGGGTGTGTTTTCACATTTGCTTACAAACAATTATAGTACAGTTTTTAACATTTTATCAATATGTGTTGACCCTCTGTTTTGACTTAAAGTCAATTTTGTAAGACGTTAATATTGTTCCCTCAGCTTTCATTAGGTTAATATTTGCCATTATATCGTAATATATATTTTTACTTTCAATCTTTCTGGGTGCTTATGTTTTACATGGATTGCCTGTTCTTTAATAAAAGACATGTAACTGGGTTTTTTTTTAATGCAATCCGATAATCTGTCTCTTAAATGGATAGTTTAGTCCATTTATACTTATTCTTAAGACTTATATTTGGATTCATTTCTAGCAGCTTTTTTTAATTGTTTACTTTTTCTTTTTTTTTTTTTGAGACGGAGTCTTGCTCTGTCACCCAGGCTGGAGTGCAATGGTGTGATCTCTACTCACTGAAACCTCCGCCTCCTGGGTTCAAGCGATTCTCCTGCCTCAGCCTCCCGAGTAGCTGGGATTACAGATGCATGCCAACATGCCCGGCTAATTTTTTGTATTTTTAGTGGAGATGGGTTTTACCATGTTGTCCAGGCTTGAACTCCTGACCTCAGGTGATCTGTCCGCCTCGGCCTCCCAAAGTGCTGGGATTATAGGCGTGAGCCACCGTGCCTGGCCTGTTCTACTTTTTCTAAGTGTTTTTCCATTCTTGACTTCTTTCTCTTGGACTGACTTATAGTTCCACTTTCAAGCCAGTTTTTCTCCTTTGCCTATAATTTACATTTCTATTTTTTTAATGGTTACTCAAGAACTTTTAAAGTACATAGTTAAGTTTTAAAATATCAATATCTTTATTATTCTCCCAAACAGTAAGATCTTAGAATGTTTCAACCCTAATCAACCCCCAATTTATACATTGTGTTATTGATTTTGTTCTATCTTAATTATTTTAACCTCATAAACTAGACTCTATTACCACAAACACAGGTTTATCTTTATGTTTTTCAATTTCTTTGTTCATCATTCTTCTACCTAAAATCTTTCTTCCTGAAGTAATTCCTTTAGAAGTTACATTTTTAGTGATAAAGTATTGTAGAAAACACTAACAATTTTTATCAGTATAAAAAGTTATTTACCTCATCATTTGCAGATTTCAAAAAAATGAATGCAAATTCTTTGCAGATCCTCCCATTAAGAAAAGTCTATTTCTCCATACCTTGAATTCAGGCTACCCTTGTGATTTGTTTTGATCAATAAATGATATGCTGTAAGAGTTTTAATCCAAGGCCACAAGAGGTCTTACAGCTTCCACTCTCCTTTTTCTGAAAACCCTTCCACCACTACATGAACAAGCCCAGGTCAGCCCACTGGACAATGGGAAAAGCATAGCTACTTTCCCAGTTGACATTAAGCCAACTGCCAAATATATAAAAGAGAGACTCCTAGACCAACCTGCCTGCTAACTACCAGACATGCACAACTCCTTTATAGATCATCCAGTCCCAACCAAATTGGCCCAGACTACAAGAACTACCCAGATAACCCACAGAATTATGAGAAATACTGAACATTTGTTTTTTTAAAACATTACATCTTAAGGTGGTTTACAGTGCAGCAAAAACTAACTGCTTCAAGAATGTGTTTGTTGAAAGGTAATTTTACTGGGTATGAAGTTTGTGGTCAACAATTATTTTCTCTTAACAACACTGAAGATAACACTCAATGTCTTCTGGCTTCCATTGCTGCTGTGATAAATCAGCTGTTAGGCTAATTGTAATTTCTTTGCATAGGATCTCTTTTTCTCTCTGGCCGCTTTTAATACAGTTTCTTGGTTTTGTATTCTCCATTTTTACTATGTTTAGTCTGGATATGAATTTCTTTTTATTTATTCTTCCTAGATCCTACTAGACATCCAGAATTGAGAGTTACTACTATGTTTCATAAATTCTGAACAATTGTCAGCCATTATCTCTTCAATAATTGTTTTCTTCTTCCCTAAGTTATTTCCATTCTAGAATTCAAATTAGACTTTTTGTTGATATCACTTTATTTTCCATCTATTTACATCTTTGTGTACATTTTGTATAAATTTGTTCAGTTTTATCATCAAGTTCACTTATTCAGTCTTCAGTTTTATCTAATCTACGTTGAGCCCATCTAAATGGATTTATAATTTTAATTATAAAATCTTGAAAAAGATCAAATGAATCCTTTTAAAAATCTTCCTGGTCAATTCTGAGAGTCTCTTGTTCCTTTATAATATTTTAAAATAATTATTTACTTAAATATATTAAAAGTACTTATATTCTAAATCTGATTGGTAGTCCTCTTCAGGTCTGCAGTTTGTTTTGCCATGTTTGTTGATTTACGACTGGAGCTGAAACTTTACCTGTAGAAATATTTTAAGGCCTATATTTTTAAAGTGAATTCCTCTAAAAACAATTAATTGATGTATGCTTCTGCCAGGTACCTAGGGCCACTGCAATCTAGAACCACTTTAAACTAAACTTTTGCCTTGGAATTTTTTGAGCCACACATATAGTAGGTAAGCTTATGACCTGGAATTCTCAAGAGCTTTCTCTTTTTATTTTTTCCTGTTTCCTGTCTGACTTTTCCCTGCCAGAGCCGAAGTTGCAGCAAACAAATATCACTACTATTTCTAATATTACTCTCATGAAATCTGGTGTTAGGCATTTATGCAGGAGCATTTCCATCCTCCTTGCATGCCAAGCTCTTTCCCTTGTAGCCCATTAAAACCAGGATGAGCAACAGCCCTAATGTAAAATTAGCTACAGAACACTTACTCCTGGGAAATTATGATTTCTTAGCATTTCTTGGCTAAATTCATATCAACTTGACCATGCCTAGAAGATATTCCCCTGAATGTATAAATCACTATGTTACTGACAAATAGTCTTCTTAATAGTAGAAATAATGTTCTCATCCAGGATAAAGGAAGGCTGTTCTTAGGGAACAAAATGTAAGAGAAATGATTTTCAAAAATATATCAGTTTCTATAGTTAGCTAAAGTAAAGCTATCATTTCTGACTGTTTCTGAACTTCTGTGACCTCAAGTTCTTCCTCACTTTAAACCTGGACTTTTCTTATCATAGACAAATCAGATGTATATAATTATTACTTTAGAATTTTTAATGAGAGACAAACAAAAGTTAAATAGTTGTACAAAAAAATCATTCTATATTTTATTTCTCTGAGAGAAATAAACTTGTAACTTTTATTAATCAAGAAGATCATAAGTAAAGCTACAATGACACACCACTTTACACCCACTAGAATGGTTATGATAAAAAAAACAGATAATAACAAATATTGGTGAAAACGTGGAGAAATTAGAATCATCCTAACTTGCTAGTGGTAATGTAAAATGGTGCAGCTGCTTTGGAAAACAGTCTGGATAATTCCTCCAAAAGTTAAACATGGAGTTACTATACTAACCATAATTCCTATCCTAGGTATATACCCAAGAGAAATGAAAACACGTGTCCCACAAAAACCTATATACAAATTATCAACTTAGCCAAAAAGTGGAAGCAATCATTACTGATTAATAGATAAATAGAATGTGGCATATGCATCAATGGAATATCACTCAGCAATGAAAAAGAAATGGTAGTACTGACACATGTTACAGCACAAGCCTTAAAAACACTAGGAAAACTAAGTTTAAAAAAAAAAAACAAAAAGGACTACATATTGCATGATTCCATTTATAGGAAATAATCAGAATAAGCAAATCTGTAGAGACAGAAAGTAGGACAGTGGTTGCCTACGGATGGAGGAGTTGAGGAAAAGAGGCACTTACTATTAACAAATATGAGATTTCTTTTTGGGATGATGAAAGAACTCTAAAATTTATTGCAATAATAGTTGCACAAATCTAAGAATATACTGAAATCCACTGAATTGTATGCTTGGTGAACTGGGTGAATTCACTGGTGAACTGTACACTGAATATACACTGAGTGAACCACATAATACGTGAATTATACCTCAATAAAGCTATTTTTCTTTTTAAAGTAGAAACAACCCAAATGCTCACTGACTGATAAATGGATTAACAAAAAGTGGTGTATCCACACAGTGGAATATTGTTCAGTCATACAAAAAAATAAACTACTCGGCCAGGCGTGGTGGCTCACACCTGTAATCCCAGCACTTTGGGAGGCTGAGGCAGGCAGAACACGAGGTCAGGAGATCGAGACCATCCTGGCCAACGTGGTGAAACCTCATCTCTACTAAAAATACAAAAAATTAGCCAGGCGTGGTGACATGCACCTGTAATCCCAGCTACTCAGGGGGCTGAGGCAGGAGAATCGCTTGAACCCGGGAGGCGGAGGTTGCAGTAAGCCGAGATCGCACCACTGCACTCCAGCCTGGGCAACATGGGCAACAGAGTGAGACTCCGTCTCAAAAAAAAAAAAACAAAAAAAAAACCCACTCATATATGCTATAACACAGATGAACGTTGAAAACATTATGCTGTATGAAGAAACCAGACACAAATGGCCACATATAATTCCACTTACATGAAATAATCAGAATGGGTAAGCTCATAGAGACAAAAAGAAAATTAGTGATTGTCAGGTGCTGAGGAAAAGAGAGAACAGGGAGTGATTACTAACAGGTATTGTTATGGTATGAAATGTATCATCCCCCAAAATTCATATGTTAAAGCCCTAACCCCCAATGTGACTGTAATTGGAAATAAGCCCTTTAGGGCTTATTAAGGTTAAATGAGGTCCTAAGAGTGGGGCACTAATTCCATGGAACTGGTATCCTTATAAGAAGAGGAAGAGATACCAGAGACCTCTCTCTCTCTGTGCACACACAGAAGAAAAGTCATGTGAGAATGCAGCAAGCAGCAGCCATCTGCAAGCCAGAGAGAGATGCCTCATGAGAAACCAACCCACTGGCACCCTGATCTTTGACTTCTAGCCTCTACAACTCTGAGAAATAAATTTCTACTGTGTCAGCTACGCATTCTATGGTATTTTGTTATAGCAGCCTGAGCAGACTGATACAGGTAAGGAGTTTCTTCCTGGGGTAATGAGTATGTTCTCAAGTTAGACAGTAATGACAGCTGTGCAACTCTGTGAATACATACCACTAACTTGTATACTTTAAAAGGGTTAATTTTATGATATATAAATTAGATCACAATAAAGCTGTTAAAAAACAAAATAAGATTATAAGTAAGAACTGATGTTAGGTGTCCTGTTATTCAAAAGATTCAATGCACTTAATCTATCTAACATGTTTCTGAATAAATCTAACTAAATATACAAAGCCTTAGCTTTCAAGGAAAGAAATTGCCAGAATTATATATAGACATCGTCTGTCCCTATGAGTTGCTTGTTTCAGAAAGCTCTATGAATTGAAACTTTTTTCTTAAGTCAGAACAAATAATTAAACTTATAATATTAACATGACAGCATGAAATAAGAGAAAGCACTTTGTAAAGCAGAATGTAAACATAACACCTCAATGATGTTAGCAGAAATCAGATCTAAGTTTTTTAAAGAAGGAAAAAATACGTATTTCAAAATCTTCAAAAATCAAAGCCTACTGTAAAATCAACTCTTTGATTTTATATTTGTTATATGGCAGACTTAGCTTCATATATATCTTAGGCTTAGAACAGCAGGATTAGCTTCATACATAGGTTTGAATGCTGAATAGCACTTAAAATGATATACAGAATTTAAAAGTTGACTTTATGTTTGCTACACAGTAGGCTTAGCTTCATAAATACGTTAGGCTTAGCACAGTAGGCTCAGCTTCATACATACGTTTGAATGCTGAATAGTATTTAAAATGACATGTAGAACAATACTTCTCAAAAGGACACAAATGCAACTATAAAATCTACTCAGATTTTGTTACATCACTACTAAAATTTTATCCTGGAAAATAAAAGTTGTAAGTAAAAGAAATAAATACTCACTTGAGTGATAAGCATTTTACAAGAAGTCTTTGACCAAAATGTTCTTTGGGTATATCAGGAACACTAAGCCGTTCTATTGGTTCTTCCTACAAATTGAAAAGCAACACCAAAATGAATATGCTTATCATATTCCAACTCTTTATCTTTTTCAGAACTTACTTTACTAATCTAACACTTTTAGTCTTCACAATAGAACATAGAGAAGAATGACCTATTTATCCACAGACAGAAGTCATTTGATTATAACTTACTCATTAAGAATAGTAAATTCACTAGTATAAAATGTATTCATTTATAAAAATTACAGCTGTTTCAGTTGCTTTATCCTCTACATTTTGTAATACTATATATCAATCATAATCCCAAAAGATCAATTTTAATAATCATTTGCTTCTTTATATGCAAACATCTATACCTCATCTGGTGATGGATGCAAAGCAAAAAGTTCTTTGTGACGGTTTGATTTCCTTTGGTCATCATTCTGACGGTCTATTTCTTCATTTGGAGTTCGATCAAGTAAATTGGGAAGCAAAGCATCAGGAAGTGAATTTTTCAAGTCAAAGATACTACAGGCCCAGCTACCCCTTGGGGTATCATCTATTGACATTGAACGTCTTTTAAGGTCATCCTGTCATGCAAAACATTAAATATAAATATATTAATTAATAAATTGACAACTATTTTTAAATAACTTCTTATAGTTATTTAAGAATAAAAGTATTACTTGATCATCCTGGTAGCTGTTGCCATCTGGAGCTTCATCAGATTCAAAAACTTGTTTTGGCAAACCTTTTTGCCTTTCTTTCTGTTTATCTAATGTATTGGGATTAAATCCTGTTCCCAATTTATGATATCTATTAAAGAAAAAAAGTTAAATAAATATCAACTATCAAACTTAGGAATTTTTTCACTTTTTGGGCATCATTATGTAATAAGCCAAGTGTTTTCTGCATTATTTCTTTATGTAATAAGAATCTATTCTAGCAATTTAGGTTAAAGAAAATTTATATTCAATGTTCCTTTAACCCAGCTAAGGAGTAGAGTATGAGTTTCCAAAAGCAAATCATATTTTCCTTCTTTCCATGCCAATCATGTGTATATAAATTAAGCTGTACTTTCAATTCAGAGAATTGGTCAGTAAAAAGAAAACTTGGGAAGCCAGTAACTTGGGTTAAAGAATAAAATGAGAAATAGAAAACATACACTGAATTAAGAATAATATAAATTTTAAAAGGTTATATACATATAAAGCACTGAATCTTAAAATTTCAAGTAGCCAAGAAATTTTTTGCTATCTCTCGTTATCTATAAAAGATCTTAACCTAAAGCTGCAGACTTGTAAAATGAAAAACAGCAAAATCTACACCATCACTGTGTACATATATATATTAACATTACATATATACACAGTTAGCTAAAAACAACTCTTAAATTAATGCAAGCTTCTTTCTTAACAATCCAATAACAACCTAATACCCAAGAACATCAAATATGAGCTGATCAAAAAGCAATTATTGTTCGTGATTCAACACTTCATAGAGCCAAACTGAAGGAACATTTTAGTTGAAGCAAAACAATAATGTTCACAAGATGGTATAGTTCTTGTTATCACCCAATTTATGAGACAGTAAAGAATCACATTTGATATGAATTACTCACATCCAGTCTTGTTGCTAAAGCTATTAAAATAGCAATTACATGATATTAACATCACTGCATAATCGCAAAAGAAAGTATTTTCTCTGAAAGAACTAAAGACACTCAATATAGTAACATGAAAGTTATTACTTAGAAGCAGGTATCTTAATCTTTAATGGAATGTTTCAAGTGTCTTAATTTGTAAAGCTGCATACGTAAGCTGCTCTGATAAATCAGAATGCTACTGAATTCTATACTAAAAAAATTGACGATATGAAATTCAAGAAAGCAAAGAATGATTCATGATCAATACTCTCTTCTATGTCATCCTGTCCTCTAGTCTGTTGCTATGATAAGGCTCTAATAATTACCCATTCAACCCCACACACATCACCATTTTTCTGACTTGTTTCTTAGCATTCTCACTCTCATTTACGGTTCCAGCCACACTGTCCTCTTTACTCTTTGTTCCTTGAACATTTCTAGCATGCTTTCAATATGGAGCCTTAGCATGTATTGCTCTTCCCTCTGCCTAATAACATTCTTCCCCCAGATATTTACAGGGCTCACTTCCTTCAGGTCTCTGCTCAAAATCACCTTATCAGTAAGGCTTCCTCTGATTAATTATATAAAACAGAAGGTCGAGCATGGTGGCTCACACCTGTAATCCCAACACTTGGGGAGGCTGAAGTAAGAGGATGGCTTGAGGCCAGGAATTCAAGGTAACAGAGAGAGACCTTGTCCCAAGTAAATAACTAAATAGAAACCAAAATAAATAATAAAATAAAAATATTTGTCCCTCTTCTTGGCCCTCTCTATCCACTTCATCCTACTTTTTTCTCCACTGACTCACCTAGATCATATTTAGTCTATATTTACCTGTGTTGGTTTATTGTCTATTGACAATCTCATCTCCCACTAGAATATAAACTCCATGAGGGTAGAGAGTTGGTTTCGTTCACTGCTGTATCATCAGTCTTTAGTATAGTGCCTGGTACATATAAGACTCTCAATAAACACTAACTGAATAAATAAATAAATGAAGTACTTTTGTGTCCCTTTATCATACTGTGCTGAATCGTGGAAGAATTTCATGGCTTCCAAAATTGACAAATGGGATCTAATTAAACTAAAGAGCTTCTGCACAGCAAAAGAAACTACCATCAGAGTGAACAGGCAACCTACAGAATGGGAGAAAATTTTTGCAATCTACTCATCTGACAAAGGGCTAATATCCAGAATCTACAAAGAACTCAAACAAATTTACAAGAAAAAAACAAACAACCCTATCAAAAAGTGGGCAAACGATATGAACAGACACTTCTCAAAAGAAGACATTTCTGCAGCCAACAGACACATGAAAAAATGCTCATCATCACTGGCCATCAGAGAAATGCAAATCAAAACCATAATGAGACACCATCTCACACCAGTTAGAATGGCGATCATTAAAAAGTCAGGAAACAACAGGTGCTGGAGAGGATGTGGAGAAACAGGAACACTTTTACAGTGTTGGTGGGACTGTAAACTAGTTCAACCACTGTGGAAGACAGTGTGGCAATTCCTCAGGGATCTAGAACTAGAAATACTATTTGACCCAGCCATCCCATTACTGGGTATATACCCAAAGGATTATAAATCATGCTGCTATAAAGACACATGCACACGTATGTTTACTGCGGTGCTATTCACAATAGCAAAGACTTGGAACCAACCCAAATGTCCATCAATGATAGACTGGATTAAGAAAATGTGGCACATATACACCATGGAATACTATGCAGCCATAAAAAAGGATGAGTTCATGTCCTTTGTAGGGACATGGATGAAGCTGGAAACCATCATTCTCAGCAAACTATTGCAAGGACAAAAAACCAAACACCACATGTTCTCACTCACAGGTGAGAATTGAACAATGAGAACATGTGGAGACAGGAAGGGGAACATCACACACAGGGGCCTGTTGTGGGGTGGGGGGAGGGGGAGGGGGAGGGATAGCATTAGGAGATATACCTAATATAAATGACGAGTTAATGGGTGCAGCACACCAACATGGCACATGTATACATATGTAACAAACCTGCAAGTTGTGCACATGTACCCTAGAACTTAAAGTATAATAAAAAAAAAAAAAAGAAAAAAAAGAAAAGTTTATCGCATGGCTCGCAGACCTCTGTAAGGGGGGAGCCCGAAAAAAAAAAAAAAGAATTCTGTGGCTTCATCTTATAGCTATTTCACTTTTCAGCCATATCCACACCGCCATTAAGCCCATCTGCTGAGTCTGTAATACTTTTTTCACTAATCAAAATTTTAATTTCCAAAGATAACGAATTGATTTTTATATGGTTAAAATACCTTTCACATTTCTCATGCACATTATTCTCATGTATGTAAGTGTATTCTTTACACTTACAGATCTTAATCTGTGTTCCATTAACTATTTCCTAAATTATTACTTCTTTTATTTGTAGTTGGATAATTCTATTTCAAGTGTATTGGTTTGCATCAAATACTTGGCAATTTTGGGTTCTATCTTAATTTTTTAATTTGTATCCCCCACATCTGTCTTAAACTACTGTATCTGCTTACCCCAGCCCATATCCAGTGGTTGCAGGGAAAGGGCAGATCACGCCACCAAGCAAAGTCTGCCAGTACCTAGTCTTCTGGGTATGAGGAATCCTTCTTCCTCCAAGATGTGCTCACCCTGGGCGCTATTCTATTAGCCTAAGCCTCCACAATTACTGATCCTAAATAAATAAATAAATAAAGGCAGATATCTCTGCTGTCACTGTGCACACATGGTGGAAGAGGTTTCAGAGTAACTACATATCCAATATTTACCAAGTCTCCCTTTCCATTGCCTGCATTCACTGGTTCTGAGCTTAAAGCACTACTGAAGCTTTTGCATGTATCTTCTCCTTAGATTATTCTGTACTATAGTTTTCTCTTACATTCCAATCACACCTATCTTCTTTGTTTCAGAGATACCTCATAACTTCTAGTTCACCAAAAGTACTCCCTTTGGTCTTCCACTTACCAGTGCATATAATGTATAATATCTAGTATAATAGAAAAAAATAAGGGCTTTAGAATCTGATGCCCCTATATTCCAATCCTGACTACTCTATTTTTTGGTTTGTGGGATCTCAGAGAAGTTACCTAACTACTCTGAGCCTGAGCCACCTTATCTGTTAAAACCTTAAATGAGATGAGTGCAAAGTGCCCAATAAAATGCCCAGCACACAGTAAACCCATAAATGTTAATTCTCTTATCCTCTTGCCTAAACCAAGGTTAACAACCCTGTGCTTAGAAGTAGCAGATTTCCATGATTCTGAGGTCAATATATTTTACAACTAACCTTTTTATTAAGATTTCTGATTATAGGTTTCTAACATATATGCACAGAGGTAAAGACTTTTGAATTATCTGACTGAGAAACAGTATTCTTCAGTAATGTCTAAAATTTGGCTACCAGAATACTTATCAAAATTGTAAGTTCATAAAAACAGCTCTTCTATATAAAGGGCAGCAGACTGTGCTTTTATTAGGTCACACTGAAACTAAAAAGCATGTCAGCATTATCCCCCAGAGTGATATTTAGCACAATGTAAAGCCTAGTGAAATAAGACAGCCATGAGGGCAAAACAATCAGCAATGGATATATCACTTTTGCTAGTGCTATTTTGCATAGATTATTTCATTTGTGAAAACTATAATGCCGTATCAGAATTCTCCACTACTTCAATCATATCTCCTTCAGAAAAATCAAATAAGGTTAAGAAGATTCAGTATGAAGACCCTTCTCCATTATGCAAATTAGCAAATGATTATTGTGTAAATCAGTTTTATTATACTTCTTAATCTGACTTGCTATTGCACAGTTTATTAGGAAAATAAATTTTGGCTAGAACAAAACATTATTTTTTACAAATATTTACCTGATTGGATGTAGAGGTCAAAGACCTATAAATATTAGTTAGAAACAGCAGAGACCTTTCAAATAGCTTGGTCTGTAAAACTGCCTGTTAATTTTAACTTAGCTATTTAAGTTTCACTAAACTGGATTCTTTTTGAGAAATACAAATTATTCATCAATATCTACCCAATATTTCCTAAAAGAATTAGACCACAAAATCATTATCATACATTAGTAGCTCTTAATGATTTATAATAATACAGAAATACTATTTTCCCATGAATTATATTTTACAAAGAAAGTAAAAGTATTACAGAAATCCTAAGGAGTAAATATCTATACACAAAAGTTCTTCTTTTGTTTCTTCAGCTATTTTGTTTAAATAAATTTTCAGGTCTCATAAACATTACGAATCTGCCTTAATCCATTTAGAAATCTTACTCAATATTTGTAAATGTTGTAATAAACATATAACTTACTTTCTGATGACAATTGCCCAGTCTTCTGTATAACTTCTTATACAGTCTCTAACATGTGGATCCATTTCACTATTTTAAAAAGGAAAATACATTTGTAATTTAGACGGGACAGCACTGATGTTCATTAATTTGGTTGCTACAATCGCTGTTTGCGTAACAGGAAATGATGATGCTATAAGAAGTAGGCTCTAAATAAAATAATGGAAGGTAGCCTTTCTATAGTTCCTCTAAAGCCAAAAATAAGTCAATGTCTCCTTACCTTTCTTCAGGTACAGCTGAAACAAGAGTTCTGCAGTCCCGAGGACTATAAACAACTTCAATATCATCTGGAGGAAATTCAATCAAATCCCGTAAAGGCCCAGAATCCACAGCCAAAGGATGAGTAATGAGGTAATCTTCCAAATCCACTGGATCTACTGCTTCGGTAAGGGGCACCTTTGTAAAAAGTTGGGATAAGAGATGGGTAGAAAACAAGAGGTGAATGTAATAATTTTAAAACTTAAGGCAAATAACATTTTTTTAAATAAAAGCTTTTAATCTAGTTCTTTCTAAAATTTTCACAGATATTCAACCAGATGCACTAAAGAAAACACAAAGTGTTACCCTTCTTGTACTCCTTGATGTTTTGGGTCATACTCTCTTTAATGTCCTTGCTGATACTTTGCCCAGAACTCTCACATAAAAACACTAGTAAGAATTAACAGTTTTATTCTACTTTATAGTTTACAAAGTACTCACTGGAAGGATTATTTTTGCTTTTTTATATCTTTGGATATTAAAAAAAAAAGTAAGTTGCTACGTTTCTAAACAGTGCTCTTACTTTATTTCTTGTTTTTGTTGATTATCCTAGTAAAAACATATAATCAGACTGGGGTAGGCTAAAAAATGTCCCTCCAAAAATTCTCCACATCCTAACACATGGGCCCTGTACATGTCACCTTATATGGAAAAAAATAAAAAATAAAACAGTCTTTGCAGATGTAATTAAGGATCTTAAAACGGGAGTATTATGCTGGATTATCCAGGTGGTTTCTAAATGCAATCACATATATCCTCATGAGGAGACAGAGGGAGATTAGGCTATACACAGAGAGAAAAAATTTGTATAAAGATGAAAAAGAGAGAGATTTGAATATCCTGGCCTTGAAGATAGAGATGATGTGATCACAAGTCAAGGAATGCCAAAGCCATCAGAATTTGGAAGAGACAAAGAACTGATACTCCAGGAGAAATCTGAAGAAAGCACAGCCCTGCCAAAACCTTATTTTAGTCCAGTGATACTGATTTCAGACTTTTGGCCTCTAGCACTGTGAGAGAATAAATTTCTTTTGTTTTAAGCCACCCAGTTTGTAGTACTTTGTTACAGTAGCCATACGAAAGGAATACACAGGCCCTATTAAAACTACCCATTAATAATAATAAAAGACTGGTAGCATTCTTCAGCCAAGTTTTTAACCAGATACTTTTTAATAAAATACCATACTTCTTATCTAGTTCGAAAAAGAAAAAAATATTCAGACAAACCTATAAAGGATATAAAACAAACATGCAGTTATAGACCAATGAAAATAAGAACATGTTATTTCTCAGGATAGTCATCTGGAATAAAAACACTGAAACCTGCCTCTGTGCAGGTGCACATTATTAATCTGAAGGTGCTTTAACCTATGCTTCTTTGGACTGAACTTTTTTTTTCTTTTCTTTTTTTTTTTTTTTTTGAGACGGGCTCTTCCTCTGTCATTCAGGCTAGAGTGCAATGGTGCAATTTCAGCTCACTGCAACCTTTGCGTCCTGGGCTCAAGGGATTCTCCCACCTCAGCCTCCCAAGTAGCTGGGATTACAGGCGTGAGCTACCATGCCTCACTAATTTTTGTGTTTTTTTGTAGAGACAGGGTCTCGCCATGTTGCCCAGGCTAACTTTGGAACTCCTGAGCTCAAGCAATCCGCCTGCTTCGGCCTCCCGAAGTGCTGGGATTACAGGTGTGAGCCACGGCGCCCAGCCTGGACTTAACATTTTAAAGATATTGAGTAAAATAATAAATAACACATCTTAAACACTCAAAAGATAGTAGTTATTTATCATTATCAGTATATGCCATCTCATTTAAACTTCCCCCAAACCCTGTAAGTTAGATATAATTACTATTTCAATTCTACAAATAAGGGCATTTGTGCTCAAAAAAGTTAACCAACATCTGAAAATATAATAGCCACAAAATGGTAGAGCAGAAATTTGAAACTGGGTTTTCGAGCTCTAAAATTTTTTCTATGATTTTTTCTCTCATAAGCCTTCTACCTTACCTATCTTATTAAGTACAAATTATTCTATGATGTTCTTAACAAAGAAAAAGAAAGCAATCCAACAGGAAAAGAGAAATCTTCTTTAACCATTGTTATTAGAACTGGATATCCACATATAAAAAATGAACCCCAATCTTTGTATCACAACATATACAAAAATTAAACTGAGATGGATCACAGACACAAACATACATGCTTAAAACTATAAAGCTATTTGAAGAAAACACAGCAAAATGTCCTTACAATTTGGGAGTAGGCCAAGTTTTCTTACACATGAAAAAAGAATAATCATAAAAGAAAAATTTGATTCCTTAAAAGACACTGTTAAGAAAATGATGAACAAGCCACACTAAGAGAAAGTATTTACAAAACATTTGATAAAGGACTAGTAATTAGAATATATGAAGAAGTCCTGTATCTCAATAATTTTTTAAAAAGCCAAACCCTCAAATAAATGGGAAAAAATAAAGCACATAAAAAAGTGCTCAAACATCAAAAGTCACTAGGGGGTACTTTCCCTTCTGGAAAGATGAAGTAGAAGTACTTTTCTCTATTCTTTCCACTAAGTACAACAGCCTAGATATTACATAGAAAACAAACCTAAGAAGACTCTGAAAGGTATAGAGAAAAAGGCTGGCCGGCAGGGACATCAGAACCCAGGGAATGGCATGACAGTGAGTTACTTCAAAATTTCTTTTTGCCTTATACATTCCAGACTTAGAACCAGAAAAGCCCACAACCCAGAATACACCAAGAAGCCCTAGGGGTGGGAGGGCCGGGGGGTGGGGAGCCTATTTTCCCCAGCCAAAAGATCAAAAAAGAAGCAGCCTGACAAAACAAAAAACATTTAGACTATAACTGCACAAAGGCCAAGTGGGGAGCTAGATTTCTTCCCTCACAAAGCTGTAACAAGGCATCCCAACTCTCCCCACCAGGGTAGTATCAGAGAAGCACAAGTAGGGTGTTGGGATTTTCCTATCTACCGAGCAATAATGAATCTCTTACTCCCAAAGTCTCAGTAGAGACCACTAAGGGAATCTGGACATCAACTCCTATGAAGCAGCAACATGGCTCCTCTTTCCTTTATCACTTGGGAACTGTCAGAGAAGGTCTAGTGGAGAGTAAGTACGTTCACCAATGCCTAGTGTAACAAGGTCACACACCCTTGGGTGTCAGTGGTGGCCATGTGAGGAACAGTAAGGAGCACTACTACCCTTCCCAGCTAAATAGTGTGGGCTGTGGTCCAGTAGAAGTGGGAACCCTCCCTCCTGCTCAACAGTAAGTAACAAGGAGTCCTTCCCCTCCTTGTGTACCAAAAGAAGACAAGTAAGAAATCTGAACTTCTACTCCGTCTGGCCAAAACAAGATAGCATCCACCTATAACTAGAGCAATATCAAAGAAAACCAGCTAAAATATGTTTAAATAAGACCTAGAAATTAACAACATAAGACCCAAAAGGTCCAAGTTCCAATAAAAAAATCTCTCATCATACTAAGAACGAGGAAAATCTTAACTCTAATTAAAAAGACAACTTATAGATGTTAATACCAAGATAAGTGATCTTAGCATTATATGACAAAGATTTCAAGGCAAACATCAGAAAAATAATTCAACAGCAATTGTAAACACTCTTAAAATAAATGAAAAACCAGAAACTCTCTGTAAAGAAACAAAGTCTCGGCAAAGAAACAGAAGATATAAAGAACTAAATGGAAATTTTAGAACTGAAAATTCAACAGACAAATTCAATAGCAGAAAAGAGGGGACAGAGGAGGTAAAAATCAGCTACCTTGAAGAAAGAAAAATAGAAATTATCCAATCTGAACAGCATTAAAAGAAAAACAGAGTGAAAAATCAAAACAAAACAAAAACAAAAATAAAAAACATCTTCAGGGACAAACTACACTAAAATATCCAATACTGGCATCACCAGAGTCCTAGAAAGTGAGAAAAAAGAAGGCAGGGCTGAAATATATCTGAAAAAACAATGGCTGAAAACTTCTAAATTTCATAAAAAGACATAAGCCTACAGACTCAAGAAGCTAAGCAAACCTTAAACAGGATAAACCCAAAGAAATATGTACCATGACACAGCAACCAAATTTAGACAAAGAAAAAAAAAAAAGAAAGAAAAGAAAAAAGAAAGGCCAGGTGCAGTGGCTCACACCTGTAATCCTAGCACTTTGGGAGGCAGAGGCAGGCAGATCACCTGAGGTTAGGAGTTCGAGACCAGCCTGGCGAACATGGCAAAACCCTGTCTCTACTAAAAATATAAAAATTAGCCAGGCATGGTGGCGGGCACCTATAATCCCAGCTACTCGGGAGGCTGCGGCATGAGAATCGCTTGAATCTGCCTCCAGGAGGCAGAGGTTGCAGTGAGTCAAGATTGCACCACTGCACTCCAGTCTGGGGGACAGAGCGAGACTCAGTCTCCAAAATAAAATAAAATAAAACAAAATCTTGAAAGCAGTGAGGAGAAAACGACACATTACCTCTAGGAGGAAAAAATTCAACCTAGATTTCTCATAAAAAATCATGGCAGTCAAAAGAAAGTGGCACAACATTTTTCAAGTGCTGAAAGAAAATAACTGACCACCTGGAATTTTAGATCCTGCAAATATCCTTGAAGAATGAAGGGGAAGGCCGGGCGCAGTAGCTCATGGCTGTAATCCCAGCACTTTGGGAGGCCAAGGCAGGTGGATCGACTGAGCTCAGGAGTTCAAGGCCAGCCTGGGAAACATGGCAAAACCTCAACTATACCAAAAATTTACAAAAAATTAGCCAGGCATGGTGGCATGCACCTGTGGTCCCAGCTACTCCGATGGCTGAGGTGGGAGAATTACTTGAGCCTGGGAGGCAGAGGTTGCAGTAAGCTGAGATTGCACCACTACACTCCACCCTGGGTGACAGAGTGAGACCCCTGTCTCAAAAGAGAAAAAAAAAAAAAATGAAGGGGAAATCAAGACATACTCCGATAAAATAAAACTAAGAGACTCTGTCACCAGCAGATCTATTCTAAAAGAATGGCTAAAAGAAATTCCTTAAACCAAAAGGAAATAATAAAAGGTATCTGGAAATATAATAAAAGGTATCTGGAAATATTAGGAAGGAAAAAGAAACACAGCACGAGCAAAAAATATAGGTAAATACAATAGACTTTCCTTTTCCTCTTGACTTTTCTAAATTGTCCAGTATGATTCTAAGTGTTTATAGAAAAATGTTTAAGACAATTATATACAGGAGAGGGTAAAGGGATGTAAAAATAGGTAAGGTTTCTACACTTTACTCAAACTGGTAATATATCAACACCAATACTGTGATAAGTCATGGATATAACACAATACCTTGTGCAGCCACTAAAAAAGCTATACAAAGAGATACTCTCCACAACACTATAAATCAAAATGGAATTCTAAAAAATGTTTAGGTAACCCCAGAGAAGTAGAAAAAAAGAAAACAGAGAGATGAAAAATAGAGAATAAACAAAAAATAAAATGGTAGATTTAAACCCTAACAGAGTAACAACATTAAATTACAAATTTATACATTGTATTATAAATGTAAATGTAAACAGTAAGAGATTAGCAGAAAGGACTTTAAAATATGACCTAACAATGTGGTATCTACAAATAACTCACTTCAAATAACACAACATAGGTAGGTTGAAAATAGAAGTATGGAAAAAGATATACCAGGCGACAATTATTCAAAAGAAAGCTGGAGTGGCTAAGTTAATAAGGGAAAACACAGACTTCAGAGCAAAGAACCGTATCAAATAGAGAGGGACATTACCTTCATTATAAAAGGAATGATCCAAGAGGACATAGCAATCTTAAATGTGTATGTACTAAATAACAGAGTTATACTCTGTGTATGTACTAAATAACAGAGCTATAAAATAGGTGTAGCAAAAACTGATTGAACTGAAAGAAGAAATAAGACATATCACAATTATACTTGCAGAATTCAAGAGATCTCTTTTCTGCAGATTCTAGAAAATCAACAAGGATACAGTATAATTCAAAAGCACCATCAACCAATAGATCTAACTGACATTTATAGAACACTCCACCCGATGACAACAGAATATACATTCTTTACAAAGGTCCCAAAAGTATACACCAAGACAGACCATACTCTGACCCATAAAACAAACTTCAACAAATTTAAAAAGAACTGAAATCAGACAGAATGTGTTCTCTGACTATAGTAGAATCAAACTAGAAAGTGGCAACAGAAAGATAATAGGAAAATCTTCAAACACTTAGAAATTAAACATACTTCTGAATAATCCATGAGTTACAAAAGTCTGAAAAATGAAATGAAAAAATACATTGAACTAAATGAAAATACAACATAAAATTTGCAGATAGGGAAATGTAAACCAAAAGTATAAGTGAGATACCACTTGGTACCCATTAGAATGGCTATTATTTTTAAAATGGTTAATAACAAGTGTGGACAACAATATGGAGAAATTTGAACCCTTGTGCATTGACGGTGGAAATGTAAAATGATACAGTTGCTAGGAAAAACAGATTGGTGGCTCCTCAAAAAGCATACAATAAACACAGAATTACTCTATGATCTAGCAATTCCAGTTCTAGGTATATACCCAAAAGAACTGAAAACAGTAAATCAAAAAGCTAATTGTACTCTCATGTTCATAGCAGCATTATTCACAATAGCCAAAAGTTTGCAAACAACCCCAATGTCCATCAAAATTAATGAATAAACAAAATGTGGCATATACATATAATGGAGTACTATTCAGCCTTAAAAATGAATTAAATCAGCCACGCATGGTGGCTCACATCTGTAATCCCAACACTTTGGGAGGCCAAAGAGGATCACTTGAACCCAGGAGTTCAAGACCAGCCTAGGCAACATAGTGAGACCCTGTCTCTATAAAAAATACAAAAATTAGCCAGGCATGATGGCATGCGCATGTAGTCCCAACTACTCAGGAGGCTGATATGGGAGGATCACTTGAGCCTGGAAGGTCAAGGCTATAGTGAGCTATGATGGTACCATGGTACTCAGCCTCGATGATAAAGCAAGAACCTGTCTGAAAAAAAAAAAAAAAGATACAGGCCACAACCTGAATAAACCTTTAAAACATTCTGCTAAGTAAAATAAGCTAGACACAAAAGGACAAATACTGTATGATTCCACTTACATCAGGTACACAGAAGAGGCAAATTCATAAAGGCAGGAAAGAGAATATATTATCAGGAGTTGGGAAGGGGGGAAAATGGGAAGTTATTGTTTAATGGGTACAGGGTTTCAGTATGGGATAATGAAAAAGTTCTGGAGATAAATAGTGGTGATGGTTGTACAATACTGTAAATGTACTTAATGCCAGTGAATTGTATAAATAAAACTGGTTAGAATGGTAAATTTTATGTTATGTATATTTTACCACTATATCTATTATATATACAAATATAGCATGTAAGTATATATTATACATATATAAATATTTTTTTAAATTCAATTTTTTTCTAATTCAGCGTTTTTTGCCCAGATATTATTTCTAGGGCAGTATATAGCTCAGAATTTAAAATGTCACAAATAAATACTCAGTGAAAATAATGACAAAACCTGGGAAGTCGCTACCTATGACTAATTCAATGGGTTCATGGATTCTAGGTCCTAGTGATGTGGAAGGACAATTGGAGTCAGGGTACCAGAACAAGAAGGCCATAAAGATAAGACGTGGTGATCAGAGAGTGGGAAGTGTAAAACTAAGATTACATATGGGTTATAGTTATTCATAATGACAAAAATCTAAGGTCTGATTATAGAAATTTTGAGTAGTTAAGGTGTAATTCAGGATGCAAAATAATATCACTGGAAGAGAGGCGTTCAAGACACCAAGAGCATTTTGGAAGGATTATCTCCATGTACATTGAAATCAGCCAAAAATCCATATATTCTAAAATTTCTGCAATTAGCATGTTACTGTAATTAAAAGTAAACTTTATGTTTTCAAATTTTAGTAACACAAACATTATATCATTATAAGTCGATCAAACTGTTATTTCCCAGTTTGTTCAATAACACGTACCCTTTCACAGCTAAATGGAAAATGCTAATATATAACTCCACCCTATCATGCTTATTTGCTTTTTTTAGTTTCCCACAGCATTTTGTAAAAATGACCTCTAATTTTAAGACAAATGGAGGTATGTTTTTAATTCATATTTCTAATATAATAAATATTAGTTTTTATCAAAACTGAATTTCCTCATGCCAGCTTCTTTAATAAGAGAACATTTATGTCTCTGACACAGTACTGGGCTTACAGTAATAATTCAATAAATATAAATTCATTTATCTTAAAGGGGACAGATAATACTACAAACCCAAATAATTTACTTCGGTGCTTGTTTCTAGAATAGATTCCTAAATTTTCACATAATGAATCACCTTCAGTCTTTAAAAGTTCTAGGGCCGGACGCGGTGGCTCACACCTGTAATCCCAGCAATTTGGGAGGCCGAGGAAGGTGGATCACAAGGTCAGGAGTTCAAGACCAGCCTGGCCAATATGGTAAAACCTCATCTCTACTAAAAATACAAAAATTAGCTGGGCATGGTGGCACATGCCTGTAGTCCCAGCTACTCAGGAGGCTAAGGCATGAGAATCACTGGAACCCAGGAGGCGGAAGTTGCAGTGAGCCGAGAACGCGCCACTGCACTCCAGCCTGGGCGACAGAGTGAGACTCGGTCTCAAAAAAAGAAGAAAAAAAAGTTCTAAATGTAAAATTCCAGGATTGATTAAATCCTGACTATAAAGTTTCAGAGTTGGCTAGGAAACTAGCAATTCTATAACACCCCCAACATCCTCTCCCAACTCAGATTTCAACAAAATGAGGTAACAAGTAAGGTTATGAGACTAATGACGGAACCCAATTAGCTCTTATCTTTCCACTATTTTTTCATGGCCTAGTCAATCATACACCAAGAAGAGACTATATTTTGAATACGTTACTTACTGTGGTGTGATGGGATATATTGCCAACAATATTAAGGTTTTTGAGCAGTTGGGGAGAACCACTATATTGTCCGGAGATCTGCTTCCTAACTTCGGCTGCCACCGTTCTACAATGAAGAAAGCAAAAACATACGCATTATTGAAAAAAAAAAAAACTAAACTAGTTTAAAATGGAGGGAAGCTAAATACATTAAAGATTCATTTAAAGAAAAACAAAATCTCAGCATAACAATAAGGCTAGAAATTCGTAAAATATTTTAGGAAATGCTTTTCTAGTTTATAATTACATTACAACGTCTTATGTTGATGTAGGGTACAAGACTGACAGACAACCCATATGAGGTTTTTTCTTATATGGCATTTTAGGGAACACACTTTGGCCTACAATAGAGCTGCAACTATAGAGCTGGCTCTGTAGTTGGGAGCTATAAAAAGATGTGTATATTAAAATGTATATACTTTAAAGTATACACTTAAAATGTATATTAAATTAAAATATATATACACTTTAAAGTATAAGAATTAGGAATAAAAAACTCTAGAGTGTTTTCAAGCTAATGATTTAATTCAGAGCCCTGACCATCTTGGTCCCCATTAGAGTTTCCAGCTGAGTTTCAAGATAATCTCATTTTCCTAAAAGTATCTAGATTTAAGATATAATCTTTTCTCCTGCTTCTCTTCAATTCCTCCTTCCTTCTTTCATATTCAATCATTTCACACACTTTTACTGAGCACTGTTACGAGCCAACTACACAACTGGAAATGTTTACACAAAAATAAGAGTTATCATTCTTTAGGGCTTAAGATACTGAATTAGCTCAACCTTTTTCAAGTAGGTGACTTGAGGTACTTTATATATTTGTGTTTTAAAAGGCTAACTTCCTATTCATAATTGCCAAACTTTGGAAGCATCAAGCTATCCTTCAATGGGTAACTGGATAAACAAACTGTGTTACATCTATACAATGAAGTATTATTCAATGATAAAAAGAAATGAGTTATCAAGCCATGAAAGACATAGAGGAACCTTAAAAGAATATTGCTAAGTGAAAGAAGCCAATCTGTATGATTCCAACTATATTTTATTCTGAAGAAGGCAAAACTATGGAAGACAGTAAAAAGACCAGTGGTTGTCAGGGGCTAGAGTGGGGACAAGAAAGGAAGAATGAATAAGTAGAAATAGGGTGATATGGTTTAACTGTGTCCCCACCCAAATCTCATCTTGAATTATAGCTCCCATAATTCCCATGTGTTGTGGGAGGGACCCTGTGAGAGAAAACTGAATCATGGGGTCAGTTTCCCCCATACTGTTCTCATGGTAGTGAAGAAGTCTCATGAGATCTGATGGTTTTATAAGGGGTTTCCCCTTTTGCTTGGCTCTCATTCTCTCCAGCCACCATGTAAGATGTCCCTCTGCTCCTCCTTCGTCTTCTGCCATGATTGTGAGGCCTCCCCAGCCATGTGGAACTACGAGTCCATTAAACCACTTTCCTTTATGAATTACCCAGTCTTGGATATATCTTTATTAGCAGCATGACAAAAAAACTCCTACACGGGATGTTTCGGACAATGAAACTTTTAGTTAATAACAATGTACATCAATATTGGCTCATCAATTATAACAAATGTACCATACTAAAGCAAGATGCTAACTGGAGAAATTTGGGAGAGAAGAGAGAATGTATAAGAACTTTCTATACTTTCCATTCATTTTTCTGTAAACCTAAAACTGCCCCCTCCCAAAAAAGTCTACTAGTTTAAAAAAAAAAAAAAAAAGTTAACGACAAGGGAGGAAGACAACAGCACCAAAGCACCAAGAAAACAATTAGAGGTTAGAGCTGAAATCTGGAGAGAGAATGAAATCTTTGAGAGGGAGAACAGATTCAGGAGAGGGCAAAGGGCAAATTATGTAATCCTTTGTCTGAAAAGACAGGAACATTCGCTTCAGTTTAGGACTCCATTAGGGCTTTTATTTATTTATTTGAAACAGAGTCTCACTGTTGCCCATGCTGGAGTGCAGTGGCGCGATCTCGGCTCACCAAAACCTCCGCCTTCCAGGTTCAAGCGATTCTCCTGCCTCAGCCTCCCAAGTGGCTGGAATTACAGGCATGCACCACCACGCCTAGCTAATTTTTTTGTATTTTTAGTAGAGACGGGGCTTCGCCATGTTGACCAGGCTGGTCTCGAACTCCTCACCTCAGGTGAGCCACCCACCTTGGTCTCCCAAAGTGCTGGGATTACAGGCAGGAGCCACCGTGCCTAGCCTCATTAGGGATTTTAATGAAGCCTATATAATGTGAGTATTCATTATTATGTTTAGCTTGAAGTCCTTACATATCCTGATCCTCTCATCGAAGCTGAGATGAGACTATGTAAAAGCCTTTAAAAAGACACAAAACAGGCCAGGCGCGGTGGCTCGCGCCTGTAATCCCAGCACTTTAGGAGGCCAAGGCCAGCAGATCACGAGGTCAAGAAATCGGGACCATCCTGAACAACGTGGTGAAACCCCGCCTCTACTAAAAATACAAAAATTAGCCAGGCGTGGTGGTGCCTTGGCTGTAGTCCCAGCTACTTGGGAGGCTGAGGCAGGAGAATCGCTTGAATCCACGGAGGTTGCGGTGAGCCGAGATCACGTCAAGCCGAGATTGCGCCACTGCACTCCAGCCTGGTGACAGAGCGAGACTCCATCTCAAAAAAAAAAAAAAAAAAAAAAAAAGGACACAAAATAAACTTTCTACCTCCCTCATTGCTACTCACCTCACTCTACCAATCTCAGCACTAGCTCAGTGTTTCTGGGGCTAAATCATGAGTAAACTGAATAGTAAACTGCTGTATTTCATCAAATTCAAGATATCACTGGCCGGGAACGGTGGCTCACACCAGTAAACCCAGCACTTTAGGAGGCCGAGGCGGGCGGATCACAAGGTCATGAGATCAGGACCATCCTGGCTAACATGGTGAAACCCTGTCTCTACTAAAAATACAAAAAAATTAGCCAGGCGTGGTGGTGGGCACCTGTAGTCCCAGCTACTCAGGAGGCTGATGCAGGAGAATGGTGAGAACCCAGGAGGCAGAGCTTGCAGTAAGCTGAGATTGCACCACTGCACTCCAGCCTGGGCGACAGAGTGAGACTCTGTCACAAAAATAAATAAATAAAAATTTAAAAAATCACTAATTGTTAAGAAATGACATTACTCCATGTACAGCTAATAAATAAAAACTTTGCCAATTAACCACCATACCATCAGTTAATTGAAGATTTCAGATGTTAAAATGTGAAATTTAAAATAATGAAACATAGTTACTTCAAAAAGAGGCAATCTTTTGTTTAATAACAGACATAAAAACGATAATCCTCATATTGCAAATATCTTTCTACATGACATTAATTTCCCCCCAAAAAAGAAAATCTATTAATTTGAAAATAAGTTGTGATAATGCAACAAGAACCATTTCCAAACTGAGCTATAGTAGCCATAAAAATATGTGCAACCCAGACAAGGGATGCATTTACAACTGGGACCTTCTGCAAAGATTTCATAAAATGGTAGTGAAGGAATCTTCCCAAATAAAAAAACTCTATCTCTTAACCATATCATGATCCAAAGTATGCAAGAAAGAAATGTTAATGAATAAATATAAGCCCTGATACCAGTTAAAATCCTTTATCAGAGGTTACTTTTTCCAATCAGATTTTTTCTTACTCCTAGTGATAGCTCAGAAAGAAAAACAAGGCAGTCTTTTTTCCTTCTAATGAACCATTAATATTAACTGCAAAGTAGAAAAGGTCAAAAATTCTGTAGTTACTTATGCCCCTAAATTATAATATGAAAAAAACTTCTATCCCTCCCAAGAAAACATGATCCAGTATTTGACCTATTTATCTCTTTATCCACTCTCTCCATTCCTACAAGCTACGTATGTCAACACACATTACAGTTTTCACAAAAGAAAGCATCCGCTCAGGCCATTCATTATATGATGTTGGAAATAACTAGCAAAAGACCCACATTCCGAGAGAAAATTATGTTGCATTTAACCTTTCTTCTAACCCACTCCTACTTTCAGACACCCTATCTAGTCATGATTTCCAGAATGAACCAAGGGGTGATAAGGCCAATCTGTGCCTGCCTCTCTCTAGTCATTCTTCATGGGACCAGAAGTAAAGCCTGAGAAAAAATGAATAAGGAGAGTTCATACTAAAGTCATAAGAAAGTTTAGTTGAGCTGCTCCTATAAAGTCACAAAAAAAATAGCTGGAATGTACTATGTTAAATAATAAGGTATCTTGGAACTGGCATTATTTGTATCTGAGATAGAAGTCAGGGAAGAAATGAAGGGTAAAGGATATATCAGGGACAAAGAAAAAAAGGACTAGCTAAAAATCCCCAAAAGAAAAGGAAGAGAGCAGCTGACACTGCAGTAGTGTAACTATCTAAGTTCAAAACTGATGAATGATGGGTTGTATCAGAGTGTTAGAACTGAGTTGGAATTAACAATAAAGAAAACAAGTGAAACCCCATCTCTACTAAAAATACAAAAATTAGCTGGGCATGGTGGTGCGTGCCTGCAGTCCCAGCCACTTGGGAGGCTGAGGCAGGAGAATCGCTTGAACCTGGGAGGTGGAGAGGTTGCAGTGAGCCTAGATCACGTGACTGCACTCCAGCCTAGGTGACACAGAGAGACTCCATTTCAAAAATAAATAAATAAATAGGCCGGGCGCAGTGGCTCACGCCTGTAATCCCAGCACTTTGGGAGACTGAGGCAGGCGAACTGCCTGAGGTCAGGAGTTCGCGACCAGTCTGGCCAACATGGTGAAACCCCGTCTCTACGAAAAATACAAAAAAATTAGCCAGACGTGGTGGCAGGCACCTGTAATCCCAGCTACTTGGGAGACTGAGGCAGGGGAATTGCTTGAACCAGGGAGCTGGAGGTTGCAGTGAGCCGAGATCATGCCACTACACTCCAGCCTGGGCAACAGAGCAAGACTCCGTCTCAAAAAAACAAAATAAAATAAATAAATAAATAAATAGAAAGAAAACAACAGACTAAAGAAAAACAACACTGTACCACCTAGTAAGTATTTGTGCCAAAAAATGTTTAACCTGAATCGAATCAAACCTTTACATCTAACTTCCAGTTTACGGGAAATACAGAGAACAGTATAATACTATTGCGAGGAAGCCATCAGACAAAAACTAGAAGGCAGGTCATGCTATGTGCCAAAATCTCTTACGGGTCAATGTGGTGGATAAATTAACAAGTAAAGGCAGTGGACTAAGTTTTAGTGTAAAAAAGACTTAAGACTAAAAGGCAAAGTCTATTTAAGAGGGTGGAAAAACAGATTTATGAGATATAACCAAATGCAACATATGGTTACTACTGGATCCTGATTTGAGCAAACCAGCTGTAAAATATATTTTGGGGGATGAGAAATTTGAACATGGGCAAGGTAATACATAAGAGTCATTAGGGTTTTTTTAAAATGTTTTTACTGTGTGGAAAGCAGCATATAGTAAAATGTCCTTGTATTAATATTTTAGAGATGCAAATGATATTTGTAATTTAGCTTAAAAGTCTTCAGTTGGAGGCTTCAGCAGTGGCTCATGCCTGTAATTCCAGCACTTTGGGAGGTCCAGGCAGGAGGATCGCTTGAGCCCAGGAATTTGAGACCAGCCTGGGCAACATGGCAAAACTCTGTCTCTACTAAAAATACAAAAAATTAGCCAGGAGTCAATAGTGTCTACCTGTAGTCCTAGCTACTTGGGAGGCTGAGGTGGGAGGACTAGCTACTTGGGAGGCTGAAGCAGGAGGACAGCTTGAGCCCAGGAGGTCAAGGCTATAGTAAGCCTTAATCGTACCACTGCACTCCAGCCTGGGCAATAAAGTGAGACCTTGCCTCAAAAAAAAAAAAAAAAAGGCTTCAATTATTATTACTCTGCCTTAGTGGGGAAACGAACAAATCAAATATGAAGTAAGATGGGGCAAATAAACTTCAAGAGGTATGTATATCACATCCTCCATAAAGCCCTGCCTGATTCTTTCTGTTCCATACAATTGAGTGTCTAAATCTGTTTGGACACTCCTCCCTATACTTTCAAAGCACCCTGTGCTTATCTGCATACATTCAAGGAAAAGGAGCTTCCAGGAGACAAATTCAGACAGGCAGCAGACTAGCCACTGACTGCTTTCTCTTGTTGAATAAGAACATTGCCTTGCTAATTGAGTTTGATTTCAGTAGTGGGAAAGCCCAATGTTTGTAAGCACTCTCTTTGATAGTAGCATGTAAGTTGAAAAGGTTTCTATGGAACAGTAGTTATGCAACCCATAAGTATAAAAGTATGGTGGGGGGAAAAGAGTACAGTGAAGTATCAAGAATTTGGCTTTCCGGGTCTGACACACTACTTCAGAAGCACCTTTGCAACCTCCTTGAGGAATAGACAAGAAAACTTCACGTCTGATTGGGGTATTCTATGCTGTCTCTTACTTGGTATAAATGTCCCAAAACAGGTTCATTTCTGCCATTCAAGAAATTACATGTTTTCAAACTCTAGTGGCATTTTTCTATCTCATTGTGATAACCAAGCAATACCAAAGTCACAGCACCTATCAAATTGTTTTGAAATCTGTTTACCTATCTCCTTACAAGGAATGAAGCAATTAAAAGTCAAAACTTCATCTTATTGAGAGGTGACAGCGTGCTGGCAGTCCTCAGAGCCCTCGCTTGCTCTCGGCACCTCCCCTGCCTGGGCTCCCACTTTGGTGGCATTTGAGGAGCCCTTCAGTCCCCCACTGCACTGTGGGAGCCCCTTTCTGGGCTGGCCAAGGCCGGAGCCCACTCCCTCAGCTTGCAGGGAGGTGTGGAGGGAGAGACACGAGCGGGAACCGGGGCTGTGTGCGGCACTTGCGGGCCAGCTGGAGTTCCGGGTGGGCGTGGGCTTGGTGGGCCCCGCACTCGGAGCAGCCAGCCAGCCCTGCTGGCCCCGGGCAATGGGGGACTTAGCACCCGGGCCAGTGGCTGCGGAGGGTGTACTGGGTCCCCCAGCAGTGCCGGCCCACCGGTGCTGCGCTCGATTTCTCGCCGGGCCTTGGCTGCCTTCCCACGGGGCAGGGCTCGGGACCTGCAGCCCGCCATGCCTGAGCCTCTCACCCCCTCCGTGGGCTCCTTTGCGGCCCGAGCCTCCCCGACGAGCGCCACCCCCTGCTCCACAGCGCCCAGTCCCATCAACCACCCAAGGGCTGAGGAATGCGAGCGCACGGCGCAGGACTGGCAGGCAGCTCCACCTGCAGCCCTGGTGCGGGATCCACTACGTGAAGCCAGCTGGGCTCCTGAGTCTGGTGGGGACGTGGAGAGTCTTTATATCTAGCTCAGGGATTGTAAATACACCAATCAGCACCCTGTGTTTAGCTCAAGGTTTGTGAGTGCACCAATCGACACTCTGTATCTAGCTGCTCTGGTGAGGACGTGGAGAACCTTTATGTCTAGCTCAAGGATTGTAAATACACCAATCGGCACTCTGTATCTAGCTCAAGGTTTGTAAACACACCAATCAGCACCCTGTGTTTAGCTCAAGGTTTGTGAGTGCACCAATCGACACTCTGTATCTAGCTGCTCTGGTGGGGCCTTGTAGAACCTATGTGTGGAAACTCTGTATCTAACTAATCTGATGGGGACGTGGAGAACCTTTGTATCTAGCTCAGGGATTGTAAACGCACCAATCAGCGCCCTGACAAAACAGGCCACTCGACTCTACCAATCAGCAGGATGTGGGTGGGGCCAGATAAGAGAATAAAAGCAGGCTGCCCGAGCCAGCATTGGCAACCTGCTTGGGTCCCCTTCCACACTGTGGAAGCTTTGTTCTTTCGCTCTTTGCAATAAATCTTGCTACTGCCCACTCTTTGGGTCCACGCTGCTTTTATGAGCTGTAACACTCCCCGCGAAGATCTGCAGCTTCACTCCTGAGCCCAGCGAGACCACGAGCCCACCGGGAGGAACGAACAACTCCAGACGCGCTGCCTTAAGAGCTGTAACACTCACCGCAAAGGTCTGCAGCTTCACTCCTGAGCCAGCGAGACCACGAACCCACCAGAAGGAAGAAACTCTGAACACATCTGAACATCAGAAGGGACAGACTCCAGACGCGCCACCTTAAGAGCTGTAACACTCACTGCGAGGGTCCACGGCTTCATTCTTGAAGTCAGTGAGACCAAGAACCCACCAATTCCAGACACATTATCTCTAGCAGAGTGCCCAGCACATACAAAGTGCTTACCCAGTGTTTACAGAGCTAAAGTGAAAAACACAGGAATAGAAAAGAAAAATTCATAATTCCTTCGCCAGAAAAGTAATTGACTAAGAATGCTTGAATGGAACAACTTACGAGAGCTCCTTCAGGGCAGGGACCATATCTTATTAATCGTTATATCCTCAAAGTCTAAGACAATGGGGAGAGAGAGAGAAATGGAGAAACAGATATAAGAATTTAGAGAGAGGAAAAGAGAGAGATACTGAATAAGAATGAACTTAGAGACTACCTAGTACTTTCAAAACACCTTTTAGAGTAAACCAATTCATAAGTGATGTTGGTTTCTAACTGATTAAAAGGGAAGAAAAAAGTATGCCTTCTTATCTATTATTGTCAAATAGAAAAATATTTGCAGGGGAAAAATAGTCTCAGTCTAGTTGAGATCATTATTATCATCTTTGTAATCTGGTAAAGTAAAAAAACTACTACCAAAACACAATACTCTCCTATTCTGTATGAAACTTTTTTAAAAACAATTTTTTTAACAGGATATATAATTTGTTTGCTTATCTCAAAATAGTCTCTAATGTGTCTTTAGCATATCTGCAAAGGGCTGGTTACAGAATTACTTTCAAGCCCTACTATTACATAAAGTTACTATGAGAAGCAGAGGAAATAAGATTTTCCAAAATGAAGACAAAAAAAAAAAAACCTGATACAAGAAATCTTTTAAATAAATAAATAAATGGCATTACAAAATGCAAACTTAGGAAGAAAAAATTTCAAACTTCACAAAGAGGTGAAAATAAAAGGTCCATCTCTCTGCCATCTCCAATCCCCAATCCCCAGTCTTATTCCCTAGATGTAACTAGTTAATATTTTCTTGGTATCCTTCAAGAAATAGATGTGTATCTATCATTACATATATAAGAAATCCTTATTTTTTAATGTCCACACATGACATCATACAATAATCATTTCTTGATACCTTACATTATACAATATATATTAGAAATCTTTCCATATTGGCACATAAAACTAATAAAACTAGCAACATTTGTCAGGCACTTACAACGTGTCACATACTGTGCAAAGTGTTACTTTTGTTATACCTCAATCTTTAGAAAACCCTATGAAGTAGGTACTCTATTCAAATATTGAAATTTCAAGAGTTTCACATAACTGATAAGGAATAGAGCTAAAATTTGAACATAAAGACCTCATTCTTAACTACTAATCTCCTTTTTATCTGCTATAAAGTCCCTGGTATGGATAAACAAACATATTTAACCAGTCTCCACGGGTGGACCTTTAAACTATTTCCAGTTTTTCCAAAGATTATCACTAGAATGTAAGTTCTATGAGGCAGAGATTTCTGTCTGAATCAAGAATTATGGGTGATTTTTGAGGGCTTTCTGTATTTCTAAATTCTCTGCAGCAACATTATTTTATAATTAAAAAATAGATATTTTTAGATACATTTCAAAAATAAAGTAACTTGCCCAAGTTTATGAAAGGTAGAGGCAGGGTTTGAATTCAGATCCATAAAGCTCCTAAAGCTTTCCATGGAAGCAGGTTTCCAAAGATAAAATAATTCTTGCTATAGTTTATATTAATGATTTGTCTATTTTCCAAAACCCAGCCTTTCACAGGTCAGTTAAAGATATCCAGTAAAAATGTCTGGTGTATATACTAACATAGTAATAGGAACACTAGAATGACTACCACCATTGTTATGATCTGTTTCCTATCCTTCATGTATGGCTAAATAAAATGCCAATCTAAGCCATTGTCTTTATGTCATTTGTAAGTTAGCCCGTGTTAAAATGTTTAGGAACACAGAAGACTGGATCCCAGTAACCACTAAAGGCTCAAGAAAACTAAAACATATACACGTTGATATGTGAAACAAAACCAAAAAGAAACAGTCCTTCTACATAATACACTTAACATTTAAAATATACCTCCTTTTCTGGTGGGAAAAAGGATTAAAAAAAAGATGTCAGGTGTCTCATATATCCCATCTGACACTATTTTGGGGATAACATTACTCAAAATTATTTTTACATTAGAAAGCACTGTATTAAGGAGACTTGGATGGCTCTATCACTGTGATCAACAGCATTTCCATATAAATCTCAGTTTCATCAACTAAAAGCTGGTGATAATACTGCTCCCTATTTCATGGAACATATTACATTATAATTACATAAAGAAAAGAATTCAAAAATTTAGCATTTGTAAATATTAACACTGACCTGAAATTGGCAATTAAAAACAGAGAGAAAAGAAAAGTATCTACTGCAAAAGGTCAATCCTCCTAAAAGGATATAAATTTATCTTAAATTCCACCCTACTTCATTATAAAAATAAACCCAGAGCTGCCTTACCCATAAACATACAAAATTATATCCTGGTGTAAAGTATACATAATTAGTTGCTAAATCGTGTTTATTCTAACTCTTAAATATTTCTCAAATCCTTGTCCCCACCTTTCCTTTTTTACAACATCTACCTACAAATAACATCATACTTAACAGTGAAAGTCTGAATGCTTTTCCCTTTAGAGCAAGAGAAAGCCAAGTATGTCTGCTCTCAGTTCTATTCAACCTTGTACTGGAAGAGGGAGGGAGGGAAGGAAGGAGAGAGGAAGGAAAAGGGAAGGAAGCAAGGAAGGGAGGGGGAAGGGGGGGAGGTAGGGAGGGATGGATTAAAGGCATTTTGATTGGAAAGGAAGAAATAAAACTGTCTTTACTCACAGAAAAAATTATCCTGTATACAGAAAATTCTCAGGAACCCACAAAAAACTACTAGAAATACTAAACAAGTTCAGCAAGGTTGAAGGATACAAGTATAATATCCAAAAATCAACTGTATCTCTATATACTAGCAATGAACAAACCAAAAATATTTTTTAATTCCATTCAAAAGATCAAAAATAAAATATTTAGAAATAAATTTAACAAAAGAGGTACAAGACCTTTACACTGAAAACTTCAAAATGCTGAAGAGAGAAATTAAATAAGATCTAAATAAATAGACCCCCCCCACCAACCATTTTCATGGATTGGAAGACTCAATATTGTTCAGATGGCAATTCTCCCAAACTGATCAACAGATTCAGTGCAATCTCTATCAAAATCCCAACAAGACTTTGCAGAAACTTGCATACTTTATATAGATATTGGTCCTAAAATGTATATGAAAATGCAAAAAATCCAGAATAGACAAAGCAATTTTGAAAAAAGTAAAAAATTGGAGGACCCACACTTACAAATTTCAAATTTTACTTTAAAGCAATGGTAACCAGAACAGCACTGTACTGGTATAAGGATAGACACACAGAGCAATGAAACAGAACTGAGTATCAAGAAATGAACTCTTACATTTATGATCAACTGATTTTTTTTGACAATGGTGCCAAGGCAATTCAATTGGACAAAAGTATTCTTTTCAACAGTGTTGCAACAATTGAACACCCACACACTAAAGATAAATTTAGACCTTTATCTCAAACCATGCATAAAAACTAACGCAAAATGGAACATAAACCTTAATATAATAACTAAAACTATCAAATTTTTAGCAGAACATAGAAAAAAATTCATGACAATGGATTAGGCAAAAAGTCTTAGCTACAACACCAAAATCCTGATGCATAAAAGAAAAAAACTGATGAACTGGACTTCATTAAAATTGAAAACCTTTGTGCTTCAAACATCACCTAAAAAATGAAAGGACAAGCCAAACAAGGAGACAATAGTTGTAAATTATATATCTAAAGAAGGACTTTTACTCAGAACACATAAAGAACTCCTACAACTCAAAAGCAAGATAAATAATCCCACTGAAAAATGAATAAGAGGCCAGGCATGGTGGTGCATGCATGTAATCCTAGCATTTTGGCAGGCTGAGCGGGGAGGATCACTTGAGCCCAGGAGTTCAAGACCAGCCTGGGCAACATAGAGTCTGTCTCTACAAAAAATTAGCCAGATGTGGTGGCGTGGGCCTATAGTCCCAGCTACTCAGGAGGTTGAGCTGGGAAGATAGCTTGAGCCCAGGAGTTCAAAGCAGCAGTGAGCTATAACGCACCACTGAACTACAGCCTGGGTAACAGAGCAAGACCCTGTCTCAATCAATCAATCGATACAAATGAGTAAGAGACCTGAACAGGTATTTCACCAGGGCAGATACGTGAGTGGCTAATAAGCACATAAAAAAGGTCACTAGTTGGCCAGACGCGATGGCTCACTCCGGTAATCCCAGCACTTTGGGAGGCCGAGGCGGGCGGATCATGAGGTCAGGAGATCAGGACCATCCTGGCTAATGTGGTGAAACCCCGTCTCTACTAAAAATACAAAAAGAAATTAGCCAGGCATAGTGGCGGGTGCCTGTAGTCCCAGCTACTCAGGAGGCTGAGGCAGGAGAATGGTGTGAACCCGGGAAGTGGAGCTTGCAATGAGCCGAGATCGCGCCACTGTACTCCAGCCTGGGCGACAGTGCGAGACTCCATCTCAAAGAAGAAAAAAAAAAGGCACTAGTCATTAGGAAAACACAAATTTAAATCACAATGAAATACCACTTCACACTCACCAGAATGTCTATAATCAAAGAGGACAATAACAAGTGTTAGCAAGCATATGGAGAAATTAGAACCCTCATACATCGCTAATAGGAATGTAAAATGGCAGTCATTGTGGAACAGTTTCGCAGATCCTCAAAAAGCTAAACACAAAATTACACTATGACCTAGCAATTCCACTCCTAGATAGGTATATACCCACAAGAATTGAAAACAAGCCTTCAAACAAAAGTTTTATTCCTATTGGCACTATTCACAAAAGCCAAAAGGTAGAAACAACGTAAATGTCCATCAGCTGATGAATGGATAAACAAAATGTGCTACATACAATGGAATATTAGTCAGCCATAAAAGGAGTGAAGTACTGATATATGCACAGATGAACCATAAAAACATTATGCTAAATGAAAGCCACCAGATATAAAAGGCCACATATTGCATGATTCTCTTTATGTGAAATTTTCAGAAAAGGCAAATTGAGAGATTGATACAAAAAGATTAGTTATGCCCAGGGCTTGGGGTCAAAATAGGGAATGACTGCAAACTGGCACAAGGAATTTTTTGGGTGATGGAAACGTTCTAAAACTAGATTGTGGATGATGGTTTCACAGCTGTTAATTTACTAAAAATCATTTAATTGTACACTTAAAATGAATGAATTTTATGATACATAAAGTATACCTCAATAAAGCTGGGTTTTTTTTTCTAAGGATCTGGGTTGGAACTGCTCTGCAAAGATAAGTGGAAGAAACTGTTTATTTGTAAGAGAAAGAATGATGATGGCAGAAAAAGGAGAGCTGAATGCAGTCACTAAGAAAATTTTGCACCCTGAGACTCCGTACCACGATCCTGTAACATTAGCAATTATGAAAATTATTAAATGGTTGATATGAATGAAGGAGTTAGTTCTGTTTTCTGGTGTCACAGGGCAAACCAGGAACAGCCCATGATGATGCAAGCATACAGATGCAGAAGGAAAAAATGAGAATGACAAAAGTCAAAAAGAAAAACCAGGAAGACATCCTTGGGAGGGCTATGAGTTGGTACTAAGATCTAGGCTAAACTGTAAAAAGTTAAGGGACAGGGAAGCCACAGCTAGCTAGCATCAGGTTACACTGGTTTTCCTTGAATGTCTTTGCATTTCACCAGTTCCATTTAAACTGCAGATAGGAGAGCTGTCTATACTGCCACATATTTAAGTAATTATAGTCATGTGGAACCACTATAAATGACTAAACCACTAAAAAATGACTAATTTTAAAGAACATCAGCTGTTTTGCTATGAACAGTACTCTTATCCTCATTCTTTAGGTTAGAAACCCTTCTTTGGTAAGGAACTAATTCTGTAAGATTTGGGTGGGGCTAACACATCTTTCTCCCAAGCCATAGAGAAGGGCATGTGACCCACAGTGGTCAGACTCTCCTATACCCCTAAACATAGTAATTGGTTCAAGGAAGGACATGTGACCCAGCCCACACCAATAACTGAGTCCTTGGATCTTTTCTGCCACAACTAAACTGGGAGGATTTGAGCCTGGGGCTGTCAAATCTCATAGTGGCCATTTTGTGGAAAACCTATCCAAGATACGAAGATAAGAGGCTGCTGACATTATCCCTGGACCCAATACACTCAGTTACAGGAGTCAACACTTTGTGTGTGTGCAAAATAATCTGATCTGTCACTTGCAACCCCAGCAAATAAAAAAAAAAAATTCCCATGTAAAAAGCCACCGAAAAAGCAGTGATATATCCAGAGTATCTGCCAAGGGGGTCCAAATGATGCAACCCCAAAATAAAAGGGAGTTAACTCTGAAGAAATTGAATTGACTGGAATGAAGAAGAAAAGCCCCAAATAAAGCATCAATTCTTAATTCTTATAACAGGCTCTGTTTTCTAGGAAACCCAAACTAAAAGGATATCTACAAAAAGCTGTCAGCTATCATTAGACCAGTGAAACACAGAATGCTTTCCCTTTGAGATCATAAATAAAACAAGGAAGGCCAGGCACAGAGGCTCATGCCTGTAATCCCAGCATTTTGGGAGGCCAAGGTGGGAGGATCGCTTGAGGCCAGGAGTTCTCCAGCCTGGGCAACATAGCAAGACCCCACCTCTAAAATAAATTTAAAAATTAGCCAGACATGGTGGTGCACACCTGTAGTTCTAGCTACTCAGGAGGCTGAGGTGAGAGGACAGCTTGAGCCCAGGAGTTCAAGGTTATAGTGAGCTATGATGACGCCATTGTGCTCCATCCTGGACAACAGAGCAAGAGTCCACCTCAAAAAAGTAAATAAAAACTAAAAAACAGAAAAATAAAAATGTAAGAATGTTCAACATTAATACAATGTTGAATAGCAATGGTATCAATCTACACAGTAATACAAAATAATAGTCTACAGAGCAAGATAAAAAATAGTAAGTCAGTTATAAGGATTGAAAAGGAAGAAACAAAAAAAATAATGATTTCCAGATCATATGGTTGTCTACACAGAAAATATAAAGGAATTCACAAGTACATTCAGAATAAACAAGAGTTTAGCAAGGTATAGCTGGATACAAAATTGTTATATACCCAGGAATAAATCTAACAAAAGATATGCAAGAACCTGACAGAGCAAATTATAAAATTTCATTGTACAACATAAAGAAGACCTAAATAAATGGAGAAATACACTATGGATCATGGATTGGAAACTCAATATTATAAGGATGTCATTTCTCCCCTGAATTAACATATAGATTCAATGCAATCCCAATCAAATTCTATGAGTTTTGGGTTCAGGGAGTTTTGTTTTGTCTTTGGTAGATTCTAAAATTTACGTGGAAATTCAAAGGGCTAAGAGCAGTCAAGATTTTTTTTTAAAGGTGGAAGGAGTTACTCTACCAAATGCCAAGACTGATTATACCTAAGATTATTTATAATTTGTAAAAAAAATACTGTATAACCAGACCAATGGAACAAAACAGAGATCCCAGAAAAAGACCCACAAATAAGGATATATCATCTACAACAGATAATTTCAATGTACATTTTAAAAATAACTAAAAGAATTGGATTGTTACACAAGATAAATGCTTGACATGATAGATACCCCATTTACCCTGATGTGATTCTTACACATTGATGCCTGTATCAAAATATCTTATGTACCCCATAAATACATATGCATACTATGTACCCACAAATATTAAAATTAATTTTTTTAATCTACAATAGAGGCGGCAGGGCAGATTAATGGGGAAAGGACAATCCATTTAGAAAAAAATTAAAATTTCACACCATACACATATCAAGACAAGGTGGAATATAAACCTAAATAAAAAGGGGGTAACTACAAATTCATGATAATATGGATGAATATCTTAATATCTCAGGGTAATAAAATATTTCTTACGACCCATAAACCAATAACCATTAAAAAAGACTGGTAAGTTAAACTGCATTAAAACTGAGAACATACAGCTTTCATAAGATTCCATTAAAACTATGAAAAACAAGCCACAGGGTGGGAAAAGGTATTTGCTACACATATAATCAATAAACAACTAATACACAGACTGTATGTAAAGTACTCACACAAAATCAATTCCTAAAAAACCCAAAGGGAAAAAACAATGGAGGAGGGGGATAACAGCAAAATATTTAAATAAGCAATTTACATAAGAAGAAATTCAAATCATCAATAAACATACAAAACAGAGCTCAACCTCATTAGTAATAAAATGAAAATTAAAACTTACAATGAGATGGCATTGTGCATCCACCAGATTGTGGTAAAAATGAAAAAGTTGGCCATACAAAGCAATGGCATTGATGTAAAGCAACATTGTTGTGAGACTGTAAATTTCTACAACCACTTTAGAAAACAGTTTGACACTACCTAATAAACATTGCTGTAGCAATAAAGATTGCCATCTATGAGTGAACTCCCATTCACAATTGCTTCAAAGAGAATAAAATACTTAGGAATCCAACTTACAAGGGATGTGAAGGACCTCTTCAAGGAGAACTACAAACCACTGCTCAACGAAATAAAAGAGGACACAAACAAATGGAAGAATATTCCATGCTCATGGATAGGAAGAATCAATATCGTGAAAATGGCCATACTGCCCAAGGTAATTTATAGATTCAATGCCATCCCCATCAAGCTACCAATGACTTTCTTCAGAGAATTGGAAAAAACTACTTTAAAGTTCATGTGGAACCAAAAAAGGGCCCACATTGCCAAGTCAATCCTAAGCCAAAAGAACAAAGCTGGAGGCATCATGCTACCTGACTTCAAACTGTACTACAAGGCTACAGTAACCAAAACAGCATGGTACTGGTACCAAAACAGAAATATAGACCAATGGAACAGAACAGAGCCCTCAGAAATAATACCACTCATCTACAACCATCTGATCTTTGACAAACCTGACAAAAACAAGAAATGGGGAAAGGATTCCCTATTTAATAAATGGTGTCGGGAAACCTGGCTAGCCATATGTAGAAAGCTGAAACTGGATCCCTTCCTTACACCTTATACAAAACTGAATTCAAGATGGATTAAAGACTTACATGTTAAACCTAAAACCATAAAAACCCTAGAAGAAAACCTAGGCAATACCATTCAGGACATAGGCATGGGCAAGGACTTCATGTCTAAAACACCAAAAGCAATGGCAACAAAAGCCAAAATTGACAAATGGGATCTAATTAAACTAAAGAGCTTCTGCACAGCAAAAGACACTACCATCAGAGTGAACAGGCAACCTACAAAACGGGAGAAAATTTTTGCAATCTACTCATCTGACAAAGGGCTAATATCCAGAATCTACAATGAACTCAAACAAATTTACAAGAAAAAAACAACCCCATCAAAAAGTGGGCAAAGGATATGAACAGACACTTCTCAAAAGAAGACATTTATGCAGCCAAAAGACACATGAAAAAATGCTCATCATCACTGGCCATCAGAGAAATGCAAATCAAAACCACAATGAGACACCATCTCACACCAGTTAGAATGGCGATCATTAAAAAGTCAGGAAACAACAGGTGCTGGAGAGGATGTGGAGAAATAGGAACACTTTTACAGTGTTGGTGGGACTGTAAACTAATTCAACCATTGTGGAAGACAGTGTGGCGATTCCTCAAGGATATAGAATTAGAAATACCATTTGACCCAGCCATCCCATTACTGGGTATATACCCAAAGGATTATAAATCATTCTGCTATAAAGACACATGCACACATATGTTTACTGCGGCACTATTCACAATAGCAAAGACTTGGAACCAACCCAAATGTCCATCAATGATAGACTGGATGAAGAAAATGTGGCACATATACACCATGGAATACTATGCAGCCATAAAAAAGGATGAGTTCATGTCCTTTGTAGGGACATGGATGAAGCTGGAAACCATCATTCTCAGCAAACTATCACAAGGACAGAAAACCAAACACCACATGTTCTCACTCATAGGTGGGAATTGAACAATGAGAACATTTGGACACTGGAAGGGGAACATCACACACCAGGGCCTGTCGTGGGGTGGGGGGAGGGGGGAGGGATAGCATTAGGAGATATACCTACTGTAAATGACGAGTTAATGGGTGCAGCACACCAACATGGCGCATGTATACATATGTAACAAACCTGCACGTTATGCACATGTACCGTAGAACTTAAAGTATAATAAAAAATAAAAAAAATAAAATAAAAATACAAAAAAAAAAAGATTGCCATCTATGACCCAGAAATTGCAAGGGTGGCTATACCCTAGAGAAACTCATGCATATGTATACCTGAAAATTTGTATAGGAGTGTTCATGGAAACGTTTGTAATAGTAAAAAACTGGAAACAATCCAAATGTTCACCTACTATAGAATGGATTGATTGTGGTATATTTATGGAATGAAATACTACAAAGCAATGAAAATGAATGAACTTCAACTACTCAGAATATCATGAATTAATCTCACAAATTATAATTTTGTGCAAAGAAGCAAGACAGCAAAGCATACACACAATACGATTCCACCCGAATGACTTCAAAAAGAGAAGAAAACATTTTGCTTAGTAATGCATTCACAGATGGTAACATTAAAGAAAGGAAGGAAATGGTTATCCCAAAAGTCAGAATGGTGGACTGGAGTAGTCTTAAGAAGGGGTAAGATTTAGGAAAGAAAAGGAAGAATGTATCTAAAAGAAAAAAAAAAAACAGCAGAACAGTTACAGAGATGGAAACAAGCATAGCATTTGTGGAGGTACAGTGAAAACACCAGACTGACTGGAGGACAATATGTAAACTAGAGAACAAGTCAACAAAAGGAGGACCAGGTCACAGTTAACCTTAAAATCCAAGCAAGGGTTTGGCTTTAACACTGTAAGAAGCCACTTATATTCTTGAACTGCACAATCCCATGATGAAAGCTGTGTTTTAGGGAGACTTAATTTGCAACACACTTGAATTAGAGGAGGGAGGGACTAGATCAGCTAGTAGCTTTCTATGGTCACCTAGAAGTGAAATAATAAAGGATGTCCAACGCAGCTTGGTGGCATTCATTTAAACACTTTATGTGTCAGATATCCATGGGATCTGTGTGAAGCACTGGAAATAAAAAGTCAAAACCAGACCTGCCATCAAAGAGCTCTGAAAAGCAGTATAAAAACAGGGAAGGGGGTGGAGGGACATAAGAAATGTAACTTTTTAAAAAAACAGCTCATGAAATCAGTGATGAAGAAAAGAAAAAAGTCAAAGTTTCCTAGCCCTCAAGAGCCCTATAATTCAAGTACACATAAGGTAAGCACAACTATATAGCCCAAGGATTGATGAGGAAGAGAATAAGCAGGAAGTAGCCATGACTATACCACATACATGGGAGAAATGTGACAAGGAAAGGAATGTTTGGTTGGCAGCTGAAAATGCCAGAACACTCAATAGATCTTTGTTTTAGGATGAGAAAGACATAGTAAGTCTTATGGTTTAAGGGAAAGGTCCACAAAAAGGGAGTAGATTGAAGATGTTAGAACAGGGAAAGTTGTGGGATCAAGACTCTGAGAGAGGTGGCAAGAGAGAATTTCAAAGTACAATAAAATAGGTAAGCTTTAGGAACAAGAGACCTTTCAGGCTCAAGGGAAAGATGGTTAAGTCACCTATTGAGAGAGTAGTATGCTAAGGTTAAAATGAAGGACTAATGGTAGTCCCAAACTTTTCAGTAAGATGAGGTAGAGAAACAAAATTGTTAAATAAGAGAAATGACCTAAGGTAAACCTCATCTCAAATGGCAAGATATTAAGACATAAAGATCAACTCTGGAATGTTCTAGTCTCTCTTTAACACTATTTTGCAGCTTAGGAGCAAGAAGCAGGTTAGATATTCAGCATTAAGAATTAGTGAGATGAGTACAACAAAAGATCAGGGAAGTATATGTGTTCCGCAAGATAAAACAGGCAGCACGGAAGTAGTTGGTAATATATGGAACTATGAATTGAACAAAGTAGATTCTGTAGATTGAAAGACTGGGCCCATCTGCCCAGAGTTAATAACACATACAAGACTAAAAACATCTGAGGTGTTAAATAAGTCGATATCCAGGAAATCCCACTCATGTAAGATTTTCCCTCAGAAATAAAGATCTGATGGAAACCTTTCATTAAATTATGCTACTTATGCAGCAAAAGGATACCCGGTTAACAAAAGAAGGACTAAGAAAGCTGGCATAACTTTAGGGATAGTAGCAGTGACACTGTTAGGAAACCTGGAACTACCACAGAAAATATTCTGCAGAAAGAAAATATAGTCAAATAAAAAGAGTAGGCCAGGTAGCTCATGCCTGTAATCCCAGCACTTTGGGAGGCCGAGGTGGGCAGATCCCTTTAGCCCCGGAGTTCGAGACCAGCCTGGGCAACATGGCGAAAACCCGTCTCTACAAAAAGTGCAAAAATTAGCCAGGCACAGTGCCCATAGTCCCAGCTACTTGGGAGGCTGAGGTGGGAGAATCGCTTAAACCTGGGGGCAGAGACTTCAGTGAGCCAAGACTGTACCACTGCGCTCCAGCCTGGGCAACAGAGCGAGACCCTATCTCAAGAAAAAAAAAAGCATAAGATCTGAAATCAGGCTGAGCGAGGTGGCTTACGCCTGTAATCCTAGCACTTTGGGAGGCCAAGGCGGGTGAATCACCTGAGGTCAGGAGTTCGAGACCAGTCTGGCCAACATGGTGAAATCCCGTCACTACTAAAAATACAAAAATTAGCTGGGCGTGGTGACGAGGACAGGAGAATCGCCTGAACCCGGGGCAGTGGGGTGGAGGTTGCAGTGAGCCGATTGCGCCACTTCACTCCAGCCTGGGCGAAAGAGCAAAACTCCATCTTAAAAAAAAAAAAAAAATCTGAAATCAGAGAACTAGGATTTGAGTCCCAATTTAGGCAAATACAGTTGCTGTTTTTAGGCCTCAATTCCTCATCTAGAAAATGATAACAACAGTAAGTAATATGGAAATCATAATAGCAGTGGCTAACATTTTTGAATGCTTATGTTCCTGACACAGTACTACTAATGCATTATTAGAACTGTATTAGCTCACTTACACATGTATTAACTCATTTAATCCTCACATTAACTTTATTGAGGCTGTTATCCCCATTTTTCTGTGGTATATGCAGAATTTCAACCTGTGCAATCTGATCCCAGATCCTATATTCTTTAGTACATTTTCTGCCTCTCTGGGTTATGAAGATGAGAATGCAGTAAAAAGTGCTTTAAGTGTACACAAATGTTCATCATTACTGCTGAGTATCAAGCAACAGGACAAAATAATCCCAACAAAATCCTAGACAATTTGTCTACAGTCTACATTCCATAAATCCATGGGCCTTATCCTCAAAAAGCAAAGGGGACACACATGTACAAAGACAACTACTTGATATGGACAAGATATACATGCTGCTTTTCTATGGTGAGCTGAAGTAAACAGTATAATTAGTGATAATAAGAATAAAGAGCCTTCAGAAATCACCAAATCACAGCCTCAAAAAATAACTGCACTAAATGCAAGGGGCTAAAAAATAACTGCGACAGAAACAAGATCATTATAATTCTTTTTAAAGTATAGGTTTCTGAACAATCACAAAGCTTTGAAAAGAAATAAGGTTTCAAACAGCAACAGGCTTTTCACAGAGCAACAAATTTCATATACGAACACTAGGAAAAGGATTATCATTTCCAACAAAAGCCTCAAACCACATTATAAATACTGTAGTAAAAAACAGTTGATACTTACTAGGCACTTAGAGCACTGTTCTAAGCACTTTAGAGGTAACAATTCATTTAATCCCCACAACAACCCTACGAGGTTAAGTCTTACCATCATCCTCATTTTCTAGATAGGGAAAACGAGGCAGAAGTGTGGTCAAGTAACTTGGCCATGTTTACTCAACGAGTGGCTGTGCTGGGGTGTCAAACCCAGGAACTTCATCTCCAGAATTTGTGCTATACTTCCTCTAATAGAAAAGTTAAAAAGCAGAACACGAATTGATTCAGAAGTATTAAGTATTATTCAATCATATTTGATAACAAGGAAGAACCTTTCATTCACAATAAGCAGTTAATAATGCATTACTCATAGCAGTTCTGTCTTTGGTATTCCTTCCAAGTTAAGTCTGCACATTCTCACTGGACAATCTCATCAACCCCCACCCACCCCCGGGCTCCAAATGCAATCTACTTGCTGATAACTCTCAAATCTAGATCTCCAGCCCAATCTCTCTTCTGCACCTTCAACCTGCACCAAAAACCAAATAGATATTTCTCTCTGAATGATTCATGAGCCCCTCAAAATTAACATGTCCAAAACTGAATCATCATCTCCATCCCACTTGCATCTCCCAATCTCAAACTCCTTTTTCCTCCTGTACTCCCTTACCCCAAAGACTGCCACCATCATCCACGTGGTTGCCCAACTTAGGATGTCATCCCAGACTCCTCAGTCCGCCTCACCTTGCATGTCCAATCACCAATCACTACCATATCCACCTCCTGTCTGTCCAATAAGTGCACATTTCTTCATTCACATTATCTTAATTTTATAACTTCTTAGAAAGCTGTTCTTATTTGCATTTTGTGTTGTTTTGCACAACTGATTCTCTTTTTCTCTTGTGGTTTGTCCTATCCCATCTGGTGGCGAACTCCACTAATAGACATACAATTTCATATCCAACTCTCTAAAGTGCACTTACTTTATCAGCATGATGTTTTCAGAGATAAACTTCTGGTTCTAATAAGAGAAATTAAAACTAGGAATACATGTCAAGTAATAACTTTTTTTTTTTTTTTTTTTTTTTTTTTTTTTTTTTGAGACGGAGTCTCGCTCTGTCGCCCAGGCCGGACTGCGGACTGCAGTGGCGCAATCTCGGCTCACTGCAAGCTCCGCTTCCCGGGTTCACGCCATTCTCCTGCCTCAGCCTCCCGAGTAGCTGGGACTACAGGCGCCCGCCACCGCGCCCGGCTAATTTTTTGTATTTTTTTTTTTTAGTAGAGACGGGGTTTCACCTTGTTAGCCAGGATGGTCTCGATCTCCTGACCTCATGATCCACCCGCCTCGGCCTCCCAAAGTGCTGGGATTACAGGCGTGAGCCACCGCGCCCGGCCAGTAATAACATTTTTTAATGACATCATCATCAGAAGTAAGACCTAATTATTTTACAAAAAAAAAAAATTTCCTGTCATCATAACTCCCTGGGAGAAACTAATTACTACAAGTGTTTGATGACAGGTAGTATAGGCCCTGTACTATCCTACGCACATTACACAAATTATGCCACTTAATGTTCACAACAACACTATGAGCTGGGTCCTATTATTATTCTCATTTGCCAGACGAGGAAACGGAAATTTGGCCCAACAACTTGGCCAAAGTCCCAAGCTAGAAAATACCAATCAGGATTTGAACCCATGTCGGGGTCTGAGAGTAGAGCCCATGCTCTTAAACACTTGCTATTTTGCCCCTTCAGGAAAAAAAAAGTGCTAGAACGCTGGAAAGAAAGAAAAAAAAAAGCCTCTGCCTCGAAAGCAGCTAGGACGACAGGTGCAACACCACACCTGGCTAATTTTTTTGCAGAGATGGGGTGGGGGGGACTCGCTATGTTGCCCAGGCTGGTCTTGAACTCCTGGCCTCAAGCGATCCTCCTGCCTCGGCCTCCCAAACTGCTGGGATTACAGGCCTGAGCCACTGCATCCGGCCCAAAATTTTTAAAGAAATGTCAGCAAACTAAAAAGACTCAGAGCCACAGAACTACAACTGCCCCAAAACAAAAAAAGGTAATTTAATATGAATGCTTCTTTTCTTGGGACATCATAATTCACACAAATATGATTTTATTAAAACAAAAATGTCTACTGTCTCATACATAAGTATACTCCACAAAGAAATTCTACAAATATTAGAGTCCTCTGTCATTTAATTTTTATTTGGCGGGTGGGAGAAAGGTGGCAACCAACCACCACAAGTAGGTGAAAGGCTTTGAAACCTCCACCTCAATCACTTGCTTTACTTCAAGACTGCAATCACTTGCTTTACTTCAAGACTGCTAACATATAAAAGGATGTCAGTGTATAAAGAACACTGCCTATCATCCATCTTCTCGGGTGCTCTGAGAAACACAGGCGCACAGTTAAATTCACAGGCGAACTCAGAACAAGCTTCAGCCTGCAATCCGTCAGGGATTCGGCAGCTGCACACCGAAGGTGCAGCCCGCAGCTCTCAACTTTTCATTCTGTCCACACGTTTTCAATCCTGGACGCACAAGTCCACTTTGAACCTGGCCCGAGGGTGCAAAGAGGGTTCCTGTCAGATTTCTCAGGAAGAGAGAGACGCGTGAAGGAGGGGCGGCCTCCCACCCGCCCCGAGCCGCCGCGCGTTTCTCCTTTTGTTGGGGTGGAGGAGGGCGGACCCCGCACCCTCTAGGGGCCAAGAGGGGTGGGCGGAGAGACGGGAGGGGGCGAAACGCCGCGGCGGCCCCCGACGAGCCCGGGGGTGGGAACACAAAGAATTTGGGAAGCGGCCGACCGCCCTTCCATAAACCTCCGCAGAAGTCCAGGCCCGGGCCGCCGAGGAGCAGGAGGAGGCGGGCGCGCTGGAGTCCGCGGCCCTCTCCGCTCCCTGCCGAGGCTCAGCGGCGGGCGCGGGCTGAAGGCCGGGGTTCGAGGGCGGCGCGAGGCCTCCGCTACCCCCTCAGCCACCCCGAACCCCTTCCGCCCCGCCGCGAGCCAGGCCGCGGGATCCCGGTGCCGGCCCCGCCACACCCACCCGCCTCCTAGGCCAGGCCTGGGAGGACTCCGCGGCTCTTTCTCGGGCGGCGGCGGCGGCGCGCCCCACGCCGGATATTTACCTGCTGATCTTCTGGGCGAAGGCGCGGCGCTCGGCCATGGCTGCTGCGGCGACGGCGACGGCGGCGGCGGCTGCGGCGGGCCGGGTGCGGACCGGCGGGCGCGTGCCTCCTCGCTCGTGCTCCCTCCCTCGCGGCCTCCGCCAGTCCGGGCTCCGGACCTGGGAGGCTGGGGCTGGCGGCCGGAGCCAGGAACGAGCCCTGCCGTAATGTTCCTTAGAGGCGCGCAACGAGAAACCGCTCCTCCCCCAGCGCGTCAATCCCGGCGGGAACCCCGGCTGCGGAAGGCGGCTGCGGCCGGCGGGAGCCGAGGGGAAGAATGGAGCGCTGAGGAAGCGAGGCGCCAGCCCCAGCCGCTTCGCTGCCGCGGAGCCTGCACGACCGAGAGGTCGCGGAGAGAAGCCAGAGACAGGCCAGCGACCTGGCGAGGCAAGAAAATAAGATAACCGAACGCGTAGGGGGAGCTTGGCTTTCCCGAAATGGAAGGGAAGGAAATGAAAGGTGGGCTTTGCCGAGGGGGCTGTGCTTTAACCAAAGCCCTGGATGACTGGGTTCATGTTTCTGCAGCACCGGTCTCCGAGCTTTTTAAAGCACTTGGGTTTCTGCTTCGGCCTCATGAATGCAGCCTAACTGGAGAAACAGTGGTTTTTCTTATAGAGAAAGAGCCAGAAAATACCTTGCTCCTGCAGCGATAACAATAGTAATAGTTGACTTCTGGTGCTTAGCCAGCCACTGGATTAAAGTTTTTCAAGCACGAGCGCTTTGAAGTAGATCGTTACTATCACTATTTTAGAGGGAAGGAAATTGGCTTGGAAAAGCTAAGTGACTGGCCCCAGGTCGCACAGATGGTAAACTCTTCCACTGAGACTCAAACCCAGAGCCGGTTCTTTTCTTTGAGGACAGTTGTTTCCGTATTATTAACCCCTTTTGGATCTCTCTCTGTCTCTCATACATACATATATATATATATATATATATATATATATATATATATATATATATATATAAAATCCAGGTGAGCTCTAACGTTCACCCCCATTTTGATGTTCTGTTAAATAAGCTCTGTGTTGACCACTGAAACTGACCTTGTCCATAATAGCCTATAAAACAGAGACTAGCAGAGATTTGTTTTCATCTGTTCTGTTGTAATCCCATAATGTCTAGAATATTTGGCTCCTAATGCATATCTGTTGATACTGAAATTATGGTGACACTAAGAAAAATATCTTGGTTTCTTGTAGTACCTTTCCTCTTAAGTATTGCAAGAACTTAAAATGTGTATTTATTTATTGTTATTATTATATTCTCAGTATGTCCTGGTGGAATATGTTGGATACCTGTTTTCCTCTCTTTTACCATTGGAAAATCTGTAGCTTGGAGCCATTAGGTCACTTGCCAGAGTCACACACTGAGTCAGAGGTGAAAGCCTCAATTAGTCAGATCCATAACTTCCTGTCTAGTGCTGTAACTTCTGTGGAAGACTGTGTATTTATATAACAATGCTCATTGCAGTAACACACTGCTTTTATTTATTGATTTATTTATTTTAGACAGAATCCCCCTGTGTTGCTCAAGCATGGAATGCATAGGGCACTGCAGCCTAAAACTCCTAGGCTCAAGCAATCCTCTTGCCTCAGCCTCTGGAGGAGTAGCTAGTACCACAGGCTCTTGCCAAGGCGCCCTCCAGTAACACACTGTTTTCAGATGCTTGTTTACTAAAGGAAAAGATAGTCTATTCAAAGAGGACAGATATTTGGCTTCTACCTAAGTATAGAGCCCACCTAGGTGTTCTAAAAAACACGAAGGTGAACTAGACACAGACCTGCTCTCAGAATGTTTGAGTCCATTGGGAAAGATGAACCAGGTACTCACAGACTGTAAGTCAAGGCTATCACTGTACCTGGCTTTTAAGACCCTCTGTGATAGGAACCCAGACTTATTTTGCCACTTTCTTACTCTGTAACCTTAGGCAAGCTACTTAACTTCATCTCTAAAAGGAGGAAAATAATTATATCTACTTGAAAGGGTGTTGTGAAGATTTATTGAATTGATTAATATAAAGTTCTTAGAACAGGGCCTGGTTCATGGTAAGTACGATGTGTGTCAGCTGTTGTTATTATTATCACTGTTACTGTCATTATTCATCCTATACTTAAGCTTGTCCTGGGTGTTTGATAGTCCCTGAATTGGTTGTCTGCTCTCATACTCCCAGCCAGATGTTGCATGCCTTTATCTCTGTTCTCCAAACATCTTTTCACTACTCTCTTAGAGAACTGGCCACATTTTGCTTTGAATAGTTCTTTGTATACATGACTCACTAGTTGCCAAAGTGTCTGAAAGGACTTTGCATGTACTCTGCAGCTTACTGGAAACATTTAGAGCAGGAAGAGGACAAGCAGGATCACGCTGTAAGCAGGGTAATTCAGAGTCTGGGGAACACTCTAAGCAGGAAGGGTGACCCCCTACCTCTGGGGAAGAGCTGGCAGTCACAGACCAAGTCATGTTGGCTGGTATCCCTGCCCCACAGGGTTTCAATGTCAGGAAAAGATATGGAACGCAGCAATGGGAGTGACAGTGGAATTGCTTCAGCTGACTAGCATCCATGCTCCCTATACCACCCCCTACACACACACACACACACACACACACACACACACACACACAGGTGTCAATCCACTATACTTCTGGGGAGCTCACTCCACCACCCTCAGTTTCAAGGGTCTTTTGACCTGGGCCTCACCAAGCAAAGCAGCACACTCCTCTGGCTTCTGTAACTGATTTAGGGATAGGCTCATGAATCAAACCAAGACAATCGGGCCCAACCAGAATTAGAAATTGCATTTGGTATACCAGGGCACTCCATCTAAAGAAGGCCTACCTGAGAATGAAGCCAAGCACAGCAGAGAGGAGAGCAAAAATATTGAAAAAGACAAGTTCCTTAGAATATAGCATGACTTGAGCCTTGGACTTTGCAGTTACATGAGCTAAAAATGTGCTGGAATTTTTTTGGGGGTGTGGCTGGTTTTTCATTAGGTTTGCTTTCATTAGCAGTTCAAAGTCTTACCTGATACAGGACTTCATTCAGTTAACTAACATTCATTAAGTACTATACTAGACCCTGGAAATATAGTGGTAAATAGCGCAGTATTTCTGTCCTCAAAGAGTTTAGGGTCTGGTAGAAGAGAAAAGTAAGTAAATAGTAAGTTACATGCTGAGACAGGAAAAATTAAGGAAGCTATTGGAGTGCATATAAATTCTTGATAGCACCAGTTCTCAAATATGAGGTGTTAAAAACTGGATGGAATTTAACCCTGTCCTTAGCCCTGTTATATAACCTAGGAGAAAGGCTGGCTGCAACTCCGGGAGCATGAGTAGCCCAATTCAGAATTCAGGGCCCAAGCTCCCCACTGATGGAAAGATACAAAGAAACTACTTGCCAGAAGCCAGGACCAATTTGGCAGAGTCTACTCAAAACAGTGAGTTTTAGGTAAGAAAGCCTCAGAACAGTTTTCATTAGACATACCAGTGTACTAAGTCCCTCAAGCAGAAAACTTAGGGATATGACAGAAAAAAAAAAGTAAAGAGAAAAGAAGGTGGGAAAATTATGAGTTTTGCATTCTACCCTTTATTGAACTTGGGTCTACCCGCTTTAATGTAGCACCAAGGAGGATTGTGGAGGGGTCTGGTCAAGGGTCTAAGGCTACAGTACAAAGAAATAGAGTTTTCGGGTCATGATGGATTAAGTTCTGGCTTTGCAGGCAGAATGTGTTCTCTTTTGGGATTTGGGGGAGCATAGGGAATGGTTCCTTTTTTTCAGGCATGGGCTTTTTTTTTTTTTTGAGACGGACTCTCACTCTGTAGCTCCAGCTGGAGTGCAGTGGTGCAATCTTGGCTCACTGCAAGCTCCGCCTCCCGGGTTCACACCAGTCTCCTGCCTCAGCCTCCCGAGTAGCTGGGACTACAGGTGCCCGCCACAATGCCCGGCTAATTTTTTTTTATTTTTAGTAGCGATGGGGTTTCACTGTGTTTGCCAAGATGATCTCGATCTCCTGACCTCGTGATCCACCAGCCTCGGCCTCCCAAAGTGCTGGGATTACAGGCATGAGCCACTGCGCCCGGCCAGGCATGGGTTTTTATGAAACACCGCTGGTTTCATACAATAAGATCAACATGGAGCTTCCTTCTTTGGAAGCCTCTAGCAAGGCCAAATGAATGTGGCCCAGAGAAAGGGAGAACTGAGGCATGATATGTGGGTTTACCTCAATCCCAAACTAAAGCCTAGGAGTTGGACACTAAATCTAAGCTACAGATGCTTTTGCCTGACTTTGTCCTATGTGCTTCACTTCCTGTCAATATCTAGCAAGTGTAATTTTTGCAGGGGGAAATTAAGGGGTCCTCAACCTGGCCATACTTAACAACTAATAGCACCCACATTTACTTTGTTGTAATACTCACCACACTATTGAAGTATTGTCTGTTAATCTTTGCACCCCATCGAACTTGATCTCTTGTTCACCATTGTATTTCCAGTATCTAATACACTGCCTGGTCCATTATAATAACTTAGTAAATGTTTTTGAGTGAATAAATGCCATGAACTAAAGTATTTTTAGATCCTGCCTGTATTCATCCGTTTTCATACTGCTATAAAGAACTGCCCAAGACTAAGTAATTTGTAAAGGAAAGGGGTTTAATTGACTAACAGTTCAGCATGGCTGGGGAGGCCTCAGGAAACTTACAACCATGGTGGAAGGTGAAGGGGGAGCAAGGCAGCTTCTTCACAAAGCAGCAGGACGGAGAAGTGCCAAGCAAAGGGGGAAGAGTCCTTATAAAACCATCAGATCTCCTGAGAACTCACTCACTATCACAAAAACAGTATGGGGGAAACCGTCCCCATGATTCAATTACCTCCACCTGGTCTCTTCTTTGACACGTGGGGATTATGGGGATTACAATTCAAGATGAGATTTGGGTGGGGACACAAAGCCTAACCATATCACTGCCTTAATTTATATTTCCCCAAAAATAGAGCTTGAGGCTTGGATGCAGGTAGTTTATTAGGAAGTGATGCTAAGAAGCTGGAATGAGGAAGTGGAGAGAGTAGAACAGAGAAGGGAAAGCCAGTAAATAGTGTTGTTGAGGTGTTACCACTGTGGGCAATTTAGGCTCAATCCCGCCTGCAACCTGCGTAAAGTGTGGAGTGCACCTCAGAATTGTCTCTTTGAGGCTCAGTATTTACCTGATGCCATCTAGATCTCTTGGCTGAAGGCTTACTATTGGAATATTAACTGCCCGCACACTTAATACTACAAAAAGCTAAGAGACATGGTGTGTGTTTCTGGTGGCCAGCTATCAGTGCCCCTGAGAATTGTTCACCACAGCTACACCTAAAATCGGAAAGGAGCCATGGGGTGAAGTACAGGGTACCAACAGTGTCTATTACAGATCCCCTGAAAGTAATGCAGAGACTACAATAGGGATCTTGCCAGAATAGAACGTATTTGCACCTCATGGTTCTGCTGCTTTACAGAATTGGGAAAGACCAAAAGGCCAGACCACCTGAGTCAAAATGGCCCACAATGCAAGCTCAGTGCCTACTTTAAAAATAGGTCCATAATGTTTTTCCTCAATGGACTATTATATCAGTAGAAAAAAACAGTTTTTCCCATACTCTAACAACATGCTTCTGACACCAGATATGTGGGATTTTTTTCCCCATACATCAAGCAAGCAATCGATTCTGCAGCAGACACCAGTTGAGTCTCCTCCAATTCCGTTCTGGAGTTCTGGAATCTACCTGAAGTTCAGTTCTGACACTGTCTACCTGGAGTTAGCGTCAGATCCCACAGGTTGAGGGCTTGGTCCCACAAGACTGCCCCCCACATCCAGTGCCAATTGCAAGCCACAGGTTGTTCTACCAGTGCTTTGACTGACTGTAAGTTGGGGTTCCCACAACCCCTTTCCTTGAGTTTGATTAATATACTAGAGCAGAACACAGGGGAATATTAATATTTACCAGTTTATTATAAAAGATATTACAAAGGATAAGTAGAAAAGATGCATAGGGCAAGGCATGTGGGAAGGAGCGCAGAGCTTCCATGCCTTCTCTAGGTGCACCACCCTCCAGAAACCTCTACATGTTCAGCTCTCTGGGTTTTGGTAGAGGCCTCATTACAGAGGCATGATCAACTAAATCACTGGCCACTGATGATCAACTTAATTTTCAGCCCCTCTCCCCTTCCTGGAGGTTAGGTGGTAGGGCTAAAAAGTCCTGTATTAATCCGTTTTCATGCTGTTGATAAAGACATACTTGAGACTGGGCAATTTACAGAATTAAGAGGTTTAATGGACTTACAGTTCTACCTGGCTGGGGAGGCCTTACAATCACGGCAGAAGGCAAGGAGGAGCAAGTCACGTCTTACATGGATGGCAGCAGGCAAAGAGAGAGCCTGTGCAAAGAAACTCCCATTTTTAAAACTATCAGATCTTCTGAGACCTATTCACAATCACAACAACAGCACGGGAAAGACCCGCCCCCGTGACTCAGTCATCTCCCACCAGGTTCCTCCCACAACACATGGGAATTATGGGAGCTACAAGATGAGAATTGGGCAGGGACACAGAGCCAAACGGTATCAGTCCTAAACCTCTAATCGTCTTTTACCAGCCCCCATCCTGAAGCTACACAGAAGCTGCCAGCCACCAGTCATTTTATTAGCATACAAAAAAATTATTCCTTTGGAAATCACAAGGATTTTATGAGTTTTATGCCAGGAAATGGAATGAAGACCAAGTATAGATTTTACAGTATCCAGCTATATTTCAAGGTAGTCATATTTGATGAAGTAAAATTCTTTTAAAAGAATTTCAGCTAAGAAATGCAGACTCAGATGAAATAATTAAGCTAAACCTGTATAATCCAATACCGTAGCCACAAGCCACATGTGGCCACTTAAATTCATTAAATAAAACTAAAAATTGAGTTTTCAGTTTTATTAGGCATATTTTAAGTATTCAGTAGGCCACAGGTGGCTAAGGGCTGCCATACTGGACAGTATACAGACAGAACATTTCCATTATCATATGAAGATCTGTTGGACAGCACTGATCCAAAGATCATTGCTGCTAAACCATTAGATAAGAGCCTTATGGGGAACTTTAAATGGTTGGATCAGGCTGATAAGACCAGAACCCACTGATGAATCTTAACATCAAACACACACACACCCAGAGTTAACCAGTCAAACACACCAGAGGCACTATGTGCCTCATCACATGATATAAAGAAGGGAGTGTAAGATGATACATCTATGGAAGATGTATAGGATGTATACAGCATCACCTATGAAACATTCCTGGCAGATATTTAAAGCTAATGCTTGTTCTGTTTATAGAAAATATAGGAGATGAAAGAACATGTCAAACAATATGCTTGGGTTAAAATTAGCAAAATTCAAAATACGGGAAATTTTATAGGACATAATGACCAAGTTCCTTTAACAAATAAATTTCAAGGAATAAAAAAATATTAGAAGTAGAGTAAGCATATAAGCAACAAGAGGTAAATTGGACATAATCAAAATGTAAAGTTTTTGTGCTTCAAGGACACCATCAAATTGAAAAGACCACCCACAGAATGGGAGAAAAATTTTTACAAATTGTTTATCTAATAAGAAACTTACATCAAGAATATATATAAAGAACTCTTATAAGTCAATAATAAAAAGACAACCCAGTTTTAAACTTGGCAAACAATTGGAATAGACATTTCTCTGAAGAAGATATGCATATGCAGATGGCCAGCACACATATAAAAAGATGATCAACATCAGTATCGATCAGGGAGATGCAAATTAAAACCACAGTGAGATGCCACCTCACAGCCACTAGACTGACTAGAATCATAAGGACAGATATTAATAAGAGTTGATGAGGGTGTGGAGAAATTGGAGTTCTCATATACAACTGGTGGGAATGTAATATGGTGCAGTCACTTTGGAAAACATTCTATCAACTCCTTAAAAGGTTAAACATAAGTTACTATATGACCTAGGAATTCCACTCCTAGAAATATACCCAAGAGAAATGAAGATAGATAGATAGATAGATAGATAGATAGATAGATAGATAGATAGATAGAGAAACTTGTACACCAATATTCATAAAAGCATAATTCATAATAGCCAAAAAGTAGAAACAACCCTAATGTCCATCAGCTGATGAAAGGATAAATAAAATGTGTATCCATTCAATGGGATTGATGTGATTTGGCTATGTCCTCACCCAAAATCTCATCTTGAACTCTAATCCCCACATGTCCAGGTGGAGGAAATCAGATCATGGTGGTTTCTCCCATGCTGTTCTTGTGATAGTCTCACAAGAGCTGATGGTTTTATAACCATCTGGCATTTCCCCTGCTTGCACTCATTCTCTCCTGCTGCCCTGTGAAGAGTGCCTTCCGCCACGATTGTAAGTTTCCTGAGGCTTACAGCTATGTGGAACTGTGAGTAAATTAAACTTCTTTTCTTTATAAATTACCCAGTCTCAGGTATTTCTTCATAGTAGCATGAGAATGAACTAATACAAGGATATTATTCCAGAAATAAAAAGAAATAAAATACTGGTACATGCTGAAATATGGATGGACTTTGAAAACATTATGCTGATTGACGTAATCCAGTATTTATTTTGGGAGAAAATGATATAAGGTATGACATTTGCTTTAAAAATAACCCAACATGGGTTTCTGTTGATGGGTGTTGAAGCTGGGTAAGAGAATATGGGGTTTCATTACATCGTTTTTTATAAGTTGAAAAAAGGCCCTCAAATGAGTATTATGTCAGAAGAGAGAAGACAACTTACTGATTAGAGAAGAAAGGGTTGAAAGCTTAGCTCAGAGAATGAATCAATCATGAAGCCAGTCTAAAAGGTCTAAGCAGCCAGAGGTTAGAGTAATCACACAAGTAGAGGAACTGTCTGGCCAAAGGCCGTCTTGGAACCAATGTCTATAGTGCCCTATTGTGCACCATTCTCATTTTATTTCACTGAGCTGAGAACTGAGTGAGACCTGCTGGACATTACTGATTATGGATCTGGGCAGAGATGAGCCCAGTGTTCTTTAGGAACAGTAGGGCAGATCTGGGACAAGCAGGTCTCACACAGAGAAAGGACAGAAACATCAAAGTTCAAAAGAGTTGCAGTCATGGAAAGGTTCTGTCAGGTGGGAGACTGTACATGTTTGTAGGTTATGGGGGAGGACTAGAGGAGTGAGAAAAAGTGAAAATATTGAGAGATACTTTTGATAATCTTGAAAAGAAAGAGGTATCTTTCACCTGCTTGGGAGGGAAGAAAAGGTTGGAAAACCACACAGCATTTTAGAGGTGGAAATAAGGGAAGTTGAGGGAGCTTAATTCAGCATTTCATTTTCTCACTAAATGTAATGATGTAAGGCTAGTATATTAGTTTTTTGCCACTGCCTGACCAAAAGTGATGGTCCCCTTTGTTGTATAATGTAAACTATCAAGCAATCGGCTATCTCATATCCATAAGGCCTGCCCACATGAAACGGGAGAGCCTATACAGGACATGTATGCCAGGGACAGGAATCTTGGTAGAACTGCCTACTACAGCCAGGTAAGGATGAGAATCTTGAATGTATGATCCCACATTGCTGGAAATGGTTCACTCCATGAACTAGGAGATAAGGCCTTGGATAGGGAACTAGGGACCATATTGAAAACTTACCAAGAAATACGGAGAACCAAATGGGGAAGGTGCTGAAAGTCATAATCCCTCTTGAAACAGAGGGAGCAGGGGACTGAAGATGAGAAAAAGTGGGGTTTTAGTTCTGGCTCTGCCACAATCTTACTATAAAGTTTTGAGCAAATCACAAACTTTCTGGGCCTCTCTTTCTTCAGCTATAAAATAAAGGTGATAAAATTAGAGGATTGCTAAGGTAAATAACATTTCTCTGTTACCATTATCGTATGGTACTTGTACAAGTATAGAAAAAGAATTGTAGGATATTCTTTTTCCAAATACTTTAAAGATTTGCATTATTTGTTTGGGGACTACTTAGGCATAGCCTTGCTTAAAGGTAGGGAAAAGGTAGATGATTACCACTTAAGAATGCTGCCAAGCCGGGCACAGTGGCTTACACCTGTAATCCCAGCACTTTGGAAGGCCGAGGCAGGCGGATCACCTGAGGTCAGGAGTTAGAGACCAGCCTGACCAGCATGGAGAAACCCTGTCTCTACTAAAAATACAAAATTAGCTGGGTGTGGTGGCCCATCCCTGTAATCCCAGCTACTTGGGAAGCTGAGGCAGCAGAATCGCTGGAACCCAGGAGGCAGAGGTTGCAGTGAGCCGAGATGGCGCCATTGCACTCCAGCCTGGGCAACAAGAGCGAAACTGTCTCAAAAAAAAAAAAAAAAGAATGCTGCCAAGCCAATAATCATGTGGTTCTGAAATAGAATGTCATTTTATACCTTAGCTCTGGTATTTGCTGTTTTGTTTCTTTACTTTTTATTATTTTTTAAAAAATTATTTGTTTGTTTATTTATTTATTTTGAGACAGAGTCCTGCTTTGTCACCCAGGCTGCAGTGCAGTGGCATGTTCATGGCTCACTGCAACCTCACTCTCCTGAGCTCAAGCGGTCCTCCTGCCCTAGCATCCAAGTAGCTGGGACTACAGGCATGAACCACCGTGCCCAGCCTTGTCTCTACCTTTAATTTTTAGTAGAGATAAGGTCTCACTATATTGCCCGGGCTGGTCTGGAACTCCTGGGCTCAAGCTATCCTTCCGCCTTGGCCTCCCAAAGTCCTGGGATTACAGGTGTGAGCCACCGCACCCAGCCTAGTATTTGCTGTTTTAATCTATCTGCAATTTGTTTTAGTTCTCTGCTTTCTTGACTGTTTTAGCTTTATTATACCACATGACTCTTTTACCAAAGGTGGGATATTCTTTCAAGTCCATTCTGAATCAGATTCTGACTCTGCTTCTGTCCCTGCTTCTAGATGTAATAAATTACCCAATATCTCTTATTTTTACCTTCTCTACTTCTCAGAGATTATAATAGATACTTTTGAAGGATTTTGTGAAAATAATTGATTCTACAAAAATAGTTTTTAAAGCTACAAGTAGAAATAATTTAAATATTGCAATAAAAGTTCATTTTTTAAATTTTATTATTATTATACTTTTAAGTTTTAGGGTACATGTGCACAATGTGCAGGTTTGTTACATATGTATACATGTGCCATGTTGGTGTGCTGCACCCATTAACTCATCATTTAGCATTAGGTATATCTCGTAATGCTATCCCTCCCCCTCCCCCCACCCCACAACAGTCCCTGGTGTGTGATGTTCCCCTTCCTGTGTCCATGTGTTCTCATTGTTCAATTCCCACCTATGACTGAGAACATGCAGTGTTTGGTTTTTTGTCCTTGCGATAGTTTGCTGAGAATGATGGTTTCCAGCTTCATCCATGTCCCTGCAAAAGACATGAACTCATCCTTTTTTATGGCTGCATAGTATTCCATGGTGTATATGTGCCACATTTTCTTCATCCAGTCTGTCATTGTTGGACATTTGGGTTGGTTCCAAGTCTTTGCTATTGTGAATAGTGCCACAATAAACATACGCGTGCATGTGTCTTTATAGCAGCATGATTTATAATCCTTTGGGTATATACCCAGTAATGGGATGGCTGGGTCAAATGGTATTTCTAGTTCTAGATCCCTGAGGAATCGCCACACCGACTTCCACAACGGTTGAACTAGTTTGCAGTCCCACCAACAGTGTAAAAGTGTTCCTATTTCTCCACATCCTCTCCAGCACCTGTTGTTTCCTGACTTTTTAATGATCGCCCTTCTAACTGGTGTGAGATGGTATCTCATCGTGGTTTTGATTTGCATTTCTCTGATGGCCAGTGATGATGAGCATTTTTTCATGTGTTTTCTGGCTGCATAAATGTCTTCTTTTGAGAAGTGTCTGTTCATATCCTTTGCCCAGTTTTTGATGGGGCTGTTTATTTTTTTCTTCTAAATTTGTTTGAGTTCATTGTAGATTCTGGATATTAGCCCTTTGTCAGATGAGTAGGTTGCAAAAATTTTCTCCCATTCTGTAGGTTGCCTGTTCACTCTGATGGTAGTTTCTTTTGCTGTGCAGAAGCTCTTTAGTTTAATTAGATCCCATTTGTCAATTTTGGCTTTTGTTGCCATTGCTTTTGTTGTTTTAGACATGAAGTCCTTGCCCATGCCTATGTCCTGAATGGTATTGTCTAGGTTTTCTTCTAGGGTTTTTATGGTTTTAGGTCTAACATGTAAGTCTTTAATCCATCTTGAATTCAGTTTTGTATAAGGTGTAAGGAAGGGATCCAGTTTCAGCTTTCTACATATGGCTAGCCAGTTTTCCCAGCACCATTTATTAAATAGGGAATCCTTTCCCCATTTCTTGTTTTTGTCAGGTTTGTCAAAGATCAGATAGTTGTAGATATGCGGCGTTATTTCTGAGGGCTCTGTTCTGTTCCATTGGTCTATATCTCTGTTTTGGTACCAGTACCATGCTGTTTTGGTTACTGTAGCCTTGTAGTATAGTTTGAAGTCAGGTAGCATGATGCCTCCAGCTTTGTTCTTTTGGCTTAGGATTGACTTGGCAATGTGGGCTCTTCTTTGGTTCCATATGAACTTTAAAGTAGTTTTTTCCAATTCTGTGAAGAAAGTCATTGGTAGCTTGATGGGGATGGCATTGAATCTATAAATTACCTTGGGCAGTATGACCATTTTCACGATATTGATTCTTCCTATCCATGAGCATGGAATGTTCTTCCATTTGTTTGTATCCTCTTTCATTTCATTGAGCAGTGGTTTGTAGTTCTCCTTGAAGAGCTCCTTCACATCCCTTGTAAGTTGGATTCCTAGGTATTTTATTCTCTTTGAAGCAATTGTGAATGGGAGTTCACTCATGATTTGGCTCTCTGGTTGTCTGTTATTGGTGTATAAGAATGCTTGTGATTTTTGCACATAGATTTTGTATCCTGAGACTTTGCTGAGGTTGCTTATCAGCTTAAGGAGATTTTGGGCTGAGACGATGGGGTTTTCTAGATATACAATCATGTCATCTGCAAACAGGGACAATTTGACTTCCTCTTTTCCTAATTGAATGCCCTTTATTTCCTTCTCCTGCCTAATTGCCCTGGCCAGAACTTCCAACACTATGTTGAATAGGAGTGGTGAGAGAGGGCATTTGCCAGTTTTCAAAGGGAATGCTTCCAGTTTTTTGTCCATTCAGTATGATATTGGCTGTGGGTTTGTCATAGATAGCTCTTATTATTTTGAGATACGTCCCATCAATACCTAATTTATTGAGAGTTTTTAGCATGAAGGGTTGTTGAATTTTGTCAAAGGCCTTTTCTGCATCTATTGAGATAATTACGTGGTTTTTGTCTTTGGTTCTGTTTATATGCTGGATTACGTTTATCGATTTTCATATGTTGAACCAGCCTTGCATCCCAGGGATGAAGCCCACTTGATCATGGTGGATAAGCTTTTTGATGTGCTGCTGGATTCGGTTTGCCAGTATTTTATTGAGGATTTTTGCATCAATGTTCATCAAGGATATTGGTCTAAAATTCTCTTTTTTGGTTGTGTCTCTGCCCGGCTTTGGTATCAGGATGATGCTGGCCTCATAAAATGAGTTAGGGAGGATTCCCTCTTTTTCTATTGATTGGAATAGTTTCAGAAGGAATGGTACCAGCTCCTCCTTGTACCTCTGGTAGAATTCGGCTGTGAATCCATCTGGTCCTGGACTTTTTTTGGTTGGTAAGCTATTAATTATTGCCTCAATTTCAGAGCCTGTTATTGGTGTATTCAGAGATTCAACTTCTTCCTGGTTTAGTCTTGGGAGGGTGTATGTGTCAAGGAATTTATCCATTTCTTCTAGATTTTCTAGTTTATTTGCACAGAGGTGTTTATAGTATTCTCTGATGGTAGTTTGTATTTCTGTGGGATTGGTGGTGATATCTCCTTTGTCATTTTTTATTGCGTGTATTTGATTCTTCTCTCTTTTCTTCTTTATTAGTCTTGCTAGCGGTCTATCAATTTGTTGATCTTTTCAAAAAACCAGCTCCTGGATTCATTGATTTTTTGAAGGGCTTTTTGTGTCTCTATTTCCTTCAGTTCTGCTCTGATCTTAGTTATTTCTTGCCTTCTGCTAGCTTTTGAATGTGTTTGCTCTTGCTTCTCTAGTTCTTTTCATTGTGATGTTAGGGTGTCAATTTTAGATCTTTCCTGCTTTCTCTTGTGGGCATTTAGTGCTATAAATTTCCCTCTACACACTGCTTTGAATGTGTCCCAGAGATTCTGGTATGTTGTGTCTTTGTTCTTGTTGGTTTCAAAGAACATCTTTATTTCTGCCTTCATTTTGTTATGTACCCAGTAGTCATTCGGGAGCAGGTTGTTCAGTTTCCATGTAGTTGAGCGGTTTTGAGTGAGTTTCTTGATCCTGAGTTCTAGTTTGATTGCACTGTGGTCTGAGAGACAGTTTGTTATAATTTCTGTTCTTTTACATTTGCTGAGGAGTGCTTTACTTCCAACTATGTGGTCAATTTTGGAATAGGTGTGGTGTGGTGCTGAAAAGAATGTATATTCTGTTGATTTGGGATGGAGAGTTCTGTAGACGTCTATTAGGTCCGCTTGGTGCAGAGCTGAGTTCAATTCCTGGATATCCTTGTTAACTTTCTGTCTCATTGATCTGTCTAATGTTGACAGTGGGGAGTTAAAGTCTCCCATTATTATTGTGTGGGAGTCTAAGTCTCTTTGTAGGTCACTAAGGACTTGCTTTATGAATCTGGGTGCTCCTGTATTGGGTGCATATATATTTAGGATAGTTAGCTCTTCTTGTTGAATTGATCCCTTTACCATTATGTAATGGCCTTCTTTATCTCTCTTGATCTTTGTTGGTTTAAAGTCTGTTTTATCTGAGACTAGGATTGCAACCCCTGCCTTTTTCTGTTTTCCATTTGCTTGGTAGATCTTCCTCCATCCCTTTATTTTGAGCCTATGTGTGTCTCTGCATGTGAGATGGGTTTCCTGAATACGGCACATTGATGTGTCTTGACTCTTTATCCAATTTGCCAGTCTGTGTCTTTTAATTGGAGCATTTAGCCCGTTTATATTTAAGGTTAATATTGTTATGTGTGAATTTGATCCTGTCATTATGATGTTAGCTGGTTATTTTTCGCATTAGTTGATGCAGTTTCTTCCTAGCCTTGATGGTCTTTACAATTTGGCATGATTTTGCAGTCGCTGGTACCGGTTTTTCCTTTCCATGTTTAGTGCTTCCTTCAGGAGCTCTTTTAGGGCAGGCCTGGTGGTGACAAAATCTCTCAGCATTTGCTTGTCTGTAAAGTATTTTATTTCTCCTTCACTTATGAAGCTTAGTTTGGCTGGATATGAAATTCTGGGTTGAAAATTCTTTTCTTTAAGAATGTTGAATATTGGCCCCCACTCTCTTCTGGCTTGTAGAGTTTCTGCCGAGAGATCAGCTGTTAGTCTGATGGGCTTCCCTTTGTGGGTAACCCAACTTTTCTCTCTGGCTGCCCTTAACATTTTTTCCTTCATTTCAACTTTGGTGAATCTGACAATTATGTGTCTTGGAGTTGCTCTTCTCGAGGAGTATCTTTGTGGCGTTCTCTGTATTTCCTGAATTTGAATGGCCTGCCTTGCTAGATTGGGGAAGTTCTCCTGGGTAATATCCTGCAGAGTGTTTTCCAACTTGGTTCCATTCTCCCCGTCACTTTCAGGTACACCAATCAGATGTAGATTTGGTCTTTTCACATAGTCCCATATTTCTTGGAGGCTTTGTTCCTTTCTTTTTATTCTTTTTTCTCTAATCTTCTCTTCTCGCTTCATTTCATTCATTTCGTCTTCCATCACTGATACCCTTTCTTCCAGTTGATCACATCGGCTACTGAGGCTTGTGCATTCGTCGCGTAGTTCTCGTGCTGTGGTTTTCAGCTCCATCAGGTCCTTTAAGGACTTCTCTGCATTGGTTATTCTAGTTAGGCATTCGTCTAATTATTTTTCAAGGTTTTTAACTTCTTTGCCATTGGTTTGAATTTCTTCCTTTAGCTTAGAGTAGTTTGATCTTCTGAAGCCTTCTTCTCTCAACTCGTCAAAGTCATTCTCCGTCCAGCTTTGTTCCGTTGCTGGTGAGGAGCTGCGCTCCTTTGGAGGAGGAGAGGTGCTCTGATTTTTAGAGTTTCCAGTTTTTCTGCTCTGTTTTTTCCCCATCTTTGTGGTTTTATCTACCTTTGGTCTTTGATGATGGTGACGTACAGATGGGTTTTTGGTGTGGATGTCCTTTCTGTTTGTTAGTTTTCCTTCTAACAGTCAGGACCCTCAGCTGCAGGTCTGTTGGAGTTTGCTGGAGGCCCACTCCAGACCCTGTTTGCCTGGGTATCAGCAGCGGTGACTGCAGAACAGTGGATATTGGTGAACCGCAAATGCTGCTGCCTGATCATTTCTCTGGAAGTTTTGTCTCAGAGGAGTACCCAGCCGTGTGAGGTGTCAGTCCTCCCCTACTGGGGGTGCCTCCCAGTTAGGCTACTCGGGGCTCAGGGACCCACTTGAGGAGGCAGTCTGCCCGTTTTCAGATCTCAAGCTGTGTGCTGGGAGAACCACTACTCTCTTCAAAGCTGTCAGACAGGTACATTTAAGTGTGCAGAGGTTACTGCTGCCTTTTGTTTGTCTGTGCCCTGCCCCCAGAGGTGGAGCCTACAGAGGCAGGCAGGCCTCCTTGAAATGTGGTGGGGTCCACCCAGTTCGAGCTTCCCGGCCACTTTGTTTACCTACTCAAGCCTCAGCAATGGCAGGCACCCCTCCCCCAGCCTCACTGCTGCCTTGCAGTTTGATCTCAGACTGCTGTGCTAGCAGTGAGTGAGGCTTTGTGGGCACAGGACCCTCCGAGCTAGGTGTGGGATATAATCTCCTGGTGTGCCATTTGTTAAGCCCATTGGAAAAGCTCAGTTATAAGGGTGGGAGTGACCTGATTTTCCAGGTGCCGGCTGTCACCCCCTTCTTTGACTAGGAAAGGGAATTCCCTGACCCCTTGTGCTTCCCAGGTGAGGCGATGCCTTGCCCTGCTTTGGCTCACACACAGTGCGGTACACCCACAAAAGTTCATTTTATTTGGCATGTTTTTTCAAAGTTTTTCTTTTAAGAGGTGGGGTCTTGCTGTGTTGCCCAGACAGGAGTCCATTGGCTATTCACAGGTAATCATAGCACACTGCAGCCTAGAACCCCCGGGCTCAAGAGATTCTCCTGCCTCAGCCTCCCGAGTAGCTAGGACTATGGGCATGTGCCACCATGCCTAGCCAGAGTTTGTTTTTGTTTGTTTGTTTGTTTTTTGAGACAGAGTCTTGGTCTTGTCACCCAGGCTGGAGGGCAATGGCACGATCTCAGCTCACTGCAACCTCCGCCTTCTGGGTTCAAGCAAATCTCCTGCCTCAGCCTCCTGAGTAGCTGGGATTACAGATGTGTGCCACTATGCTGGCTAATTTTTGTATTTTTAGTAGAAACAGGGTTTCACCATGTTGGCCAGGCTGGTCTCGAACTCCTGACCTCGTGATCTGCCTGCCTCGGCCTCCCAAAGTGCTGGGATTACAGGCCTGAGCCACCACGCTAGGTCCAAAGTATTTTTTAATACAAGAGTCACCTAGCCAGTCCTTTAAGGTTGTCAGCTCTGTAAGTTTGCATACTTTTACTATATTATGTACTTATAAATCATATATCTGGAAGGAACCTGGGAGCTTATCTGATTCAATTCAAGCAGTGTGAAATGGTTTCAACTAAAACCACCCAGGAAGTGGCCAAACCAGGCACAAAACTATGGTCTCTGTATTCTATTCAAGTACTATTGTCATAACTACATGGAATCCATTCATCATTGACTTACTCACTGAATACAATGTTGTTGTTGTTGTTGTTGTTGTTGTTGTTGTTGTTGTTGTTGTTGTGGTTTTTGATACAGGGTCTTGCTCTGTCACCCAGGCTGGAGTGCAGTGGCACGATCTCGGCACACTGCAGCCTTTACCCCCTGGGCTCAAGTGATCCTCCCACCTCACCCTCCCCAATAGCTGGGACTACAGGCATGCACCACCATGCCCAACTAATTTTTTTATTTTTAGTATAGATGGGGTTTTACCATGTTACCCAGGCTGATCTCAAACTCCTAGCCTCAAGCAGTTCACCCACCTCAGCCTCCCAAAATGCTGAGATTATAGGCATGAGCCACAATGTCCAGCCGTGAGAAAAAAAATTTTGTTTCGGAGTCTTGCTCTGTCGCCCAGGCTGGAGTGCAGTGGCCTGATCTCGGCTCACTGCAAGCTCCGCCTCCCGGGTTCATGCCATTCTGCCTCAGCCTCCCGAGCAGCTGGGACTACAGGCGCCCACCACCACACCCGGCTAACTTTTTTGTGTTGTATTTTTAGTAGAGACAGGGTTTCACCATGTTAGCCAGGATGGTCTCGATCTCCTGACCTTGTGATCTGCCTGCCTCAGCCTCCCAAAGTGCTGGGATTACAGGTGTGAGCCACTGCGCCCAGCCTTTTTTTTTTTTTCCTGACAGAGTCTTACTCTGTCACCCAGGATGGAGGGCAGTGGCATGGTCTCGGCTCACTGCAACCTCCGCCTCCCCGGGTTCAAGCGATTCTCCTGCCTCAGTAGCTAGGATTACAGGCGCCCACCACCACACCTGGCTAATTTTTGTATTTTTAGTAGAGATAGGGTTTAACCACGTTGACCAGACTGATCTCAAACTCCTGACCTCAGGTGATCCACCCACCTCGCCCTCCCAAAGTGTTGGGATTACAGGTGTGAGCCACTCTGCCCAGCCGAGTAAATATTTTTTAAGTGCTACTGTATGCCAGGGTTTGTGCTAGGGCCTGGTGACAGACCTGTGAATGAGAAAATAGGTATTGCTATCCAGGAAGTAACAATCGATAGGGAAGGGGGCTGGGGAGGGAAGTAGACAAGTAAACCAGCAATTCTTTGATAAACATATGCACAGAATACTTTGGGAGTACATAAGAGGATACTGTAACTGATTCTTGGGTGGTCAAGAAGAACTTCCAAAAAGAGATGCCCTGAATCCTAACAAGTAGAAACACCTAACCAGGGAAACTAGTAGGGGTAGGGAATGGACATTCTGCGCAGAGCAAACTGCATTTCCAGATGCACAGATGCACTGAAGTACAAGAACTTGGCTTGTTCTGTGAAACTGCAAATGTTCTGCATGGTTGGAGCTTGGAATACAAGGTAGGGAGCGATTACAAGTAAGATTAGAGAGATAAGGCAGAGGCCAGTTTATGAAGGGTTTGGCATGCCGGGCTAAGGAATATAAAGTACACACTGAAGGAAATGGCATGGGAAGTGGAGGGTGGCAGGGAATAATATAATCACATTTGAATTTGACAATGATTAATCTGAATTTAAGGAAGAAAATGGGTTGAAGCAAAGTTAAAGTCAGGGCAGGAAGACTGATTAGAAGGCTGTTGCATTAAACTAAGAGTATTAATCTATAGATTTTGTTACTGTAACAGAAACTCAAATAACAGTGGTTTGCACAAGATAAAACTTCTTTCCTCACCTAACAGGCTGAGCATAAGCAATCCAGGGCTGGTGTAGCAGTTCAAGTGAGCCACTATGCCCAGCCCCCATTCGCCAGAATTTAGACACATGAACATTGCACAGCTGCAAGGATAGCTAGGAAATGTAGGTTTTATTTTGTCAGGCCATGTGCCCAGTTTAAAAACAGGGATTTATTACCGTAGACAAAGGGCAGGATGAACTTTAGGACCACTAGCAAGCTTCTATCATACTAACTAAGAAAAGAAAAAGACCTAAACTGAAGTAGTGGCGGTGACTTGGGCCAGTTTGAGAAGTAATTGGGAAGTTGAGTTGATAGGACTTGGCTATGGATTAGAAATGACAGGTGAGGGCCGAGATGGTGCCAAACATGATACCCAGGTTTCTGACTTGGGCACCTGGAGGGATAATGGCGAATAACATTTACTGAGCAAGAGCACAGAAGAGGGAGAAGAGATTCAGGGAATAAGTGAAGAATATAATTCAGTTTTGCACAAGCTGAGTTTAAAGTGTATGTAAGACAGGCCGGGCATGGTGGCTCACTCCTGTAATCCCAGCACTCTTTGAGGCCGAGATGGGTGGATCACTTGAGGTCAAGAGTTTGATACCAGCCTGGCCAATGTGGTGAAACCCCATCTCTACTAAAAATACAAAAATTAGCTGGGTGTAGTGGCTCATGCCTGTAATTCCAGCTACTCAGGAGGCTGAGGCAGGAGAATTGCTTGAACCTGGGAGGCAGAGGTTGCAGTGAGCCAAGATCACACCACTGCACTCCAGTCTGAGCAACAGAGGAAGACTCCGTCTCAAAAACAAAAATAAATAAAATGAAGTGTATGCAAGGCATTCAGACAGAAATGTCCAGTAGACTGACTTTGGAATCATCAGCATGTACAGAGTGTAAGAACAGATGTTACTTAAGGTATGAGAGAAGACACAATGGGTCAACTGAGAAAAAGAAGAAAAGGCTGAGGAGAGAAACCAGATTTTTAAAGACAAAAGTGGAGAAGGAATCCCAAGGACAGGTAGAAAGGACAAGGGAAGTAGGAAAATGTGGCGATGTGTCATAGAAGCCAAGGGAAGAGAGCTTTTCAAGAAGAGGGAACAATAAAACTTAATTCAGTCCTGGGCGTGGTGGCTCACACCTGTAATCCCAGCAGTTTGGGAGGCCTAGGTGGGTGGATCACCTGAAGTCAGGAGTTTGAGACCAGCCTGCCCAACATGGTGAAACTCCATCTCTACTAAAAATAAAAAAATTAGCTGGGCGTGCTGGCAGGCGACTGTCGTCCAAGCTACTCGGAGGCTGAGGCGGGAGAATCGCTTGAACGCAGGAGGTGGAGGTTGCAGTGAGCCGAGATCACGCCACTGTACCCCAGCCTGGGTGACACAGTGAGACTGTATCTCAAAAAAAAAAAAAAAAAGAAAAAGAAAAGAAAAATTGTTCAGGAGCACTGTGAAAGATATTCCCAGAAAAAAAAAAAGATGCAAAAGCTAGAGATTTCTATTGGTAGGATTATTTAGCCATTTGCTAGAGTCAGGGAACCTAAATGAGGGCAATAATGGCACCTATTTTATTGGTTGTTGAAAGGATAAGATTAAATAATTCAGGGACTTAACACATAGTAAGGCCTCAGTGACGATTAGCTATTTCTGCTGTTGCTTTTATGATTAGGATTGTTTAAAAATCTGTTTAATAACTACCTATACTTTACTTCCTATCCTCTGTCTCTTCCTCCTGCTGCTGCTTACTTTTTTTTTTTTTTTTTCCAGAGAGAAGATCTAGCTATGTTACCCAGGCTGGATTTGACCTCCTGGGCTCAAGGGATCCTCCTACCTCAGCCCCCCACACAGCAGGGACTACAGCTGCACACCACTACCCAGCTCCCTTCTTCATGTCTTACCTGTCCTTATTATCACAGTGAATAATGCCTAATCTATTAGTGAATAATGCCTAATCTATTAAGAGCTATGTGAAAAACCTAAACTCTTTCCATTTGCAACCCTTTTGGTATGGTCAAGTCAGTGGATCTGGCTATCATACAAACTCAAATCAACTACTACAAATTCAGATTGGCTAAGCAGATTCCAGCCATTTTAAAAGCTTGTCTCTGCTCTATCCTGTATCTTTCTGCATTTACATGTAACTTCACTGTGGGTGTCCTTACAGTATATATTTTTATGAGACATCAAACTTACTAAGAGTACTTTATAGCATAGTATTTAGGAACTTAGGGGTCAGAATTAAGACATTGTTACTATGTCACCTTGAGTATTTTGTTTAACTTCACAACCCTTCAGTTTCCTGATCAGTTAAATAATTATGATAATACAAGACATAGTAGCATCACAGGATTATTATGGGGCCTAAATAGATAATGTATATAAAGTATTTATCACAGTGCCTGGTACAGATGTTAGCTTCTGTTACTACTCTGATTCTAGCCTCCCTAATTCTCATTCTTTTTTGGGGGTTGCAGGGGAGTTCACTGTGCTGTTTGCTATATTTCAAGCCTCAAAAGACAATGAAGTTCCCAAATGCTCTTCAAGGCAGAACAAATATAAATAATGATTCTCACACCAAATGTGTGCAAAGTTCAAATATTGCATTAATGGTGCTTTTTATTGTGCAAATCATACGACTAACCCATCATGTCCTTTCTGTGTCAGGAAGAACATGGATGGGAATAGAAGGATCTTTGAAATCCTACCCTCTGTGTAAATCAGTATCTGTGAATTTTTCTCTTGTTAGTACTGATTTATTTACTCTTTCTGGTGTATCTGCTCTTTCCCTTAAAACCTTTATGATAAAAACATATTTGAATGCCCACTTTGTGCCTAGTATTTTGCTCCATTCTAGTAATTTAGCAGTAAATATGGCTGAGTAATGTAGACGATCACCATAGGCAGAGATGCATAAACTGAAAACTGAAGAATAGCTAGGAGTCGGCGAGGTGAAGCTAGATGCTGTGGCCTTAGATTCAGTTCTGTCTTCTCTGACCAATAAATTTGCTGTGTTCCATGAACAGCAGCTGTGGTCCATTCTCTTTTTGTGACTTTCGTGTGGCAAGTTACTTTACTTCTCTGAGCCTCAGTTTCTTTATCTATATAATAGAAATAAATAATATCTACCTCATTGAGTTAATTATAAGGATCAAATTAAATATGTATGCAGTAAAGCACTTTCTGTAGTGTTTGGCACATGGGAAGAGTTCAATAGGTAGAAGATATTATTAATAGTTTAAGGAAAGCAGTTGGTGAGTGATTTTTAGAAATGTTCATATTTCTAAATCAAACCTAAGAAATTAATGCTAAATATAGGCATAATGCTAAATATAGGCATAATTAGCTGGGCGTGCTGGCAGGCGCCTGTTGTCCAAGCTACTCGGGAGGCTGAGGCGGGAGAATCGCTTGAACCCAGGAGGTGGAGGTTGCAGTGAGCCGAGATCACGCCACTGCACCCCAGCCTGGGTGACACAGTGAGACTCTATCTCAAAAAAAAAAAAAAAAAAAAAATTGAGCCTCAAACTGAGGCTCAGGGAAGTAAAATAACTTGCCACAGGAAAGTCACAAAAAGAGAATGGACCACATTCATCATAGTGAAAACCTTGAAACAGTCTAAGTGTCCAACAAAATTATTCATTTTGAAGTATATAAAAAGCAATGTTTTATGGCATGCCTTTTGAAGCATTAAGATCATCTCTATAATAGTATCCCTCTTATTTATTTGCATTCTGACAGCAGTCTATCTTGAGTAGAAAAGGATAGAATTACAGCATGTGCCATGGATAGCACATAGAGAGGTGTCTCACAAGGTAATGTCATCTTGCGTCTTTTTAGGGAAAATTTGGGAACCTGGGAGCTGGTTGTTTTATTGCCTCGTGGTTTCATATTAACTCTTTTAAACTGTTCCGTAAAAGTGAATATGTGCCCTTTAGATATTTTTTTTTGTTACAGCTGGCCCTTAAGTTTTGTCAGTAGAGGGTGGTGATGGGGAGACTTTGCAGGAGGAAGTGAGTTTTCCTTCCTGGTCCATGTGCTCTCTCAGCAGGTCCTACAGCATTCCCAGCTTCTCTAGCACCTGGCTTCTGTATCCAGAAGTCATCAGCTTCCCCCGGAATTGTATGAAGCACTCTGGTGAAAATTTCCCAGCAACCCAGAGGGTGAATTTCTGGCAAGTTCTAGTGACCCCATTCCAGCAAGCTTCTTTCTACCTGTGCTGCACCACAGTGACTTATCTGCCATCCATTGAGCCACAGTGGTGCCGTCTCCAAGAAGGTCAAAATCTTAGCCATGTGGGATGGAGATGGGGTTATCCTTGGCATGCTCTCTCAGCCCTAGAAGTAGCTCTTCATATCTGCTATTTCTATATTTTAATTTCTATATTTTATTTCTATATTTTATTTCTATATTTTAATTCTCTTTACTTCTTTACTACTAGCTAATCCCATCTTACTCTCATCTCCTTCTTTATATCAAATTTATACTGAACTTGCCCTCCTCAAATTACTATGTAATTTTCTCTCTCCTAATTGGATCCAGACTGATTCATCACAGCTCTAGGCAAAGCTGTCTTTATATTAGAAGAATCATGGATAAGAAACAAGGAAATAGAATGCTCCTTGAATATGCGATTTTGGAGTCATCCAAGACCTAGTGTTCCTTTGTGGGTTAGGTGCTAGGACTCTCCAGCTGGAGGAAGGTAATTAGAGATGCTGCCAGCTGGAGCTGAAGCCTACTGGAGACACTTACATATTGAGAGAATAGTGCAGGCTGAAGCTGGCTACCAGCAATTGTCTCCCTTCTGCCTTCATGGTGACTCTAGTATTCCCTCACCTTCAAGGCTTCCCTTGGTATTCAGTTTTTGCCAAGTCTCAGAAAAATAAAAATTACAAGGTCACTCTACCCAAAGAGTGGCTTTCCACTTCTGTTTACCAACTTGTGTTTCTCATATCTCCCTGGAAACTAGGAATCAATTTGGCCCTGGATCACAGGTGATAAAACTCTACTTCTTATGTATGCATCCTAGGCAAGCACCCATGAAGCCTCCTTCAGAAATAGTGTCATTTCAGATTGTATCTAATGTTCCTGGAGTTAAGTTGCTACTGGGTTGCAGAATCTTTCCAGGGAGAATTGACTGGGAAGTGACTCAGTCAGAGTCTACCAGAAGGTATAAAAGAAAACTGGTGATTAACAAGGTGTGGGCTTGGCCAGGCACGGTGGCTCATGCCTTCAATCGCAGCATTTTGGGAGGCCAAGGCAAGTGGATAGCTTGAGCTCAGGAGTTTGAGACCAGCCTGAGCAACAAGGCAAAACCCTCTCTCTACAAAAAGTACAAAAATTAGCCAGGTGTGGTGTCACATGCCTGTAGTCCCAGCTACTGGGGAAGCTGAGGTGGGAGGATTGCTTGAGCCAGAGAGGCCGAGGCTGCAGTGAGCCAAGATCGTGCCACTAGACTCCAGCCTGGGTGACAGAATGAGACCCCGTCTCAAAACAAACAAACAAAAGATGCGGGCTTTTCTCGAGACAATGCCCCCTCCCAGAAAAATCTCAACTTTTATTTAGAGAATAGGTTTAGCCTTCCACCTTCTCTTTCTTCTTGCACCCATATCCATCCTCTCTGAGAGGTCTTCCATTTAAAGTCTCCCTTGATGTATATTTAACCACATTTCATTGGCTCTTTCCTTTTTGTTTTGGTTGGGGGTTGGAGAGGAGTTCCATAAGGAATTGATGTGATTTTTCTCCTGGCCATTTCTCTAAGAATAACCCTTTCTGAATGAGGTATGTTAATCAATTCAGAGTTGGTCATCTTATTCCTTTGTATGATAGAAGAGTAGATTTTAAAATATAAGCAATGAGTATGCCTTGCTTTGGGGTATCTGGCACTGATTACCTTCTTACAGCATCACAGTTACTCTCTTTGGAAACCCTTTCTTCAATCTCAATCCATGTCATGGAACTTATCCTACTCTTAACTCTAGGAATTATTCGTGAAATCTGACAAATTAGAGTGTCACATCCCCCGGTCACAGTTATTGATAATTGGCTCAAGGAGAGTCACAGGATCCAGTACAGGCCAATGAATATCAAGAGCAACAGTTTCTCTGGAACTTTTAGGAACAATGCTCTTTTACTGTATTTGTTAAACTGATGGGGTATAAGGTGTGCTATCTTGCCTCTCAGTGGCTAAAGCCAACAGAGACAAAAGCAGAGTGAAACAATAGTGAGAAATATCATCCAGATGCCTTGTTATAGCCTGCACTGTCTGGTATAGTAGCCACTAGGCACATGTGGCTATTGAGTACTTGAGAGGTGGCTAGTCTAAATTGAGATGTGCTGTAAGCATAAAATTACACTGGGTTTCAAAGATTTAGTATGAATAAAAGAATGTAAAATTTATCATTAATAATTTTTTATATTGATTACATGTTGGAATATTTTGGATATATTGGGCTAAATAAAACATAGTAAAATTAATTTTATCTACTTTTTTCTTTTTTGTATGCCAAATAAAATATTTAAAATTATGCATGTGTTTCACATTTGTGGCTTGCATTGTATTTATATTGAATAGCATTGGTTTGAGCACTTAGATCCAGCCATGCCTAAAGTTATATAACTCCGAACTAATAAAGGCCAGTAAATACACATTTTTGCTTATGCTATTTCTTTATATCAGGAGTTGAATTTTTTATACTGTCCACTAAAAGAGTTCTAATTAATATATTAGCTAAGGCCAGGTGCAGTGCCTCACGCGTGTAATCCCAGCACTTTGGGAGGCCGAGACAGGCAGATCACGTGAGGTCAGGAGTTCAAGACCAGCCAGGCCAAAGATACAAAAATTAGCTGGGCATGGTGGCAGGCACCTGTAATCCCAGCTACTCAGGAGGCTGAAGCAGGAGAATCGCTTGAACCCGGGAGGTTGCAGTGAGCCAAGATCGCCCCATTGCACTCCAGCCTGGGTGCCAAGAGCAAAACTCCGTCTCAAAAAAAAAAAAAGAAAAAAAGAAAACATATAATATGTAATATATATATATTAGGTAAAATAATTAGTTCAGCAAATACGTCATCCCAAACCTATTTTTCCCCTAGGCAGAAATTGGAGAAGATGCAAAAAAAAAAAAAAAAACAGTCTGAAAACCTTATTCCTTTGGAGCCAATAAGAGCATTCTGATTAGGCAATATTGCTTAAGAGTAGGGGGAAGAATCACTTCATTTTATTATGCCAGTGTCAGAAACCTAACTGAATCCAGTTATTAAAGTATCCCTAGTTGTCTGCATTGACCAAATAGATATATAATATTAACATAATATTAATACATGTTTTCAGTCATTTCTTTGATGACTTGCATTATGGGTGAGCATTTCAGTCCAAAAGAATTTCCCCTCTGGCTTGGGCTGGTTCCTAAAATGAAACTTCATAATAGAATGTTGAAGCATGGAGTTCTTATAATCTACAAACTGCTTGTTAGTGCCTTGCAAAAACATACAGTTTCCACTTGTCAGCACAAAAGAATTGTTTTCGTCTTCAATCTTTTTTTTTTTTTCTTGAGACAGAGTCTCACTCTGTCGCCCAGGCTGGAGTGCAGTGGCGTGATCTTGGCTCACTGCAAACCTCCACTTCCCAGGTTCAAGTGATTCTCCTGCCTCAGCCTCCCGAGTATCTGGGATTACAAGTGCACACCACCACACCTGGCTAATTTTTTGTATTTTTAGTAGAGATGAGGTTTCACCATGTTGGCCAGGCTGGTCTCAAACTCCTGACCTCAGGTGATCCACCCACCTTGGCCTCCCAAAGTGCTGGTATTACAGGCGTGAGCCACCAGGTCTGGCCGGAAAATCTTATTACTAACAAAGTTTTCCTCCAGGATAATCAAAGGGATAATAAACTCAAAATAATTTTTCATTTTAGTTATCTTTAATATCTCTCCTGAATTCCAAAGAAATTATTGAGTGTCCAAATTTAAAGACATGCAATGTTTTGTATGAAATGTGCATTTTTTAGTTAATTGGTAATTTTTTTTTAAGTTTAGAGTTATCACTTCAAAAAGATAAGTTTTCCTGAAGGCAGAAACACCTTTCTAACTAATGCTTGATACCCCAAATCACTACTACTCCTACTACCACTGCTGCCAGTTACTATTTATTAAATGCCAGGAATTGTGTTTGGTAGTTTACATATGATACCTTGCATCTTTGAAACAATACTAGACATATTGTCTCCAGGATACTGAAGAAGAAATGAGGTTCTTTGAGGCAAGGTGGCTTAACCGAGATCACACAGCCAGGATTCAAAATCCAGGTCTGATGTCAGAGCTTGGGCTCTTTCCACTGAGTTTTATGTTTTTCTTTACTCAGTTGTGGGGCAATCTTCACCTAATTTGAGGAACCAGTAACTAGCCCCTTTTCCTCACCTGACTTCTGAATAAATGGGAAAAAAAGATACAGGAGTAAGGCAGTCAGAGCCAAAAGAAATCAACTTGATTAGGGGTAAAGGTTAAGTTGGAGGGCTAAATTGTCTGAGCAAGTGGGCTTTGTAATACTGAGTCCAGAATTATTCAGACGTACCTACCCAGTTGCAGGCAGTGCTGGATCTAGGCAGGCCCCCCTTCTCACCCCAAGCACTGGCAGTGCCTGTCCCTACAGGAACAGAAAAAAAAAACCCACGCTTCCTCTCTTCAGCTATTTCCCAAGAGGAAGAAGCTAAACTGCTCATGCCCAGTTTCTTTTTTTCAAACTCACTGATGGCCCCAGGGTGGAATGAGTGCAGTGTTGTCAGAAGATCAGGAGCACTGTACTGATATATACACTAATGGGCTCCTGTCAAATGGAAGAAACATCAGGAACAGGAAAGATAACACTAATAGCATACTCACAGGTTAAATACATCTATTTGTCTACATAGAAAGTCTCGATTGATGGATTTATAGCTCTTTCTAATATTCTTGATAAAAATTTATTTTTTCCATTGCCTTATAAAGTTTAAGAAATTACCCTGACTATACTCAGAGTTTTAATGGTGTCATCATTTTATCATTACAAAGCAATTATACTAAGCACCTACCTGTATGTAACCTTGTATGGATACTTTAATCTGTCATTGTACCACTGCTATGATTTCAAGAGAGGACATTTATTTTAATAGATTATGAAACATGAGAGTATAGGTGAGCTCAATGCTAATGAAAGCTCCCAAAGGCCTTTATCTATCTTATTCAACACTGCTCCCAAGATTAGTGCCTGGCACATAAAGGGTCTCAATAAAGATTTGTTGGCTAAATTAATAAATATATTAATAAAATTAATAAAGTTCTTCAAATTCTACATTTATTCTGGTGCTCCATATTTTTTTCTTTTCTTTTCTTTTTTTTTTTTTTTTGAGACGGAGTCTTGCCCTGTCACCCAGGCTGGAGTACACTGGCACAATCTCGGCTCACTGCAACCTCCACCTCCTGGGTTCAAGCAATTCTCCCTGCCTCAGCCTCCTAAGTAGCTGGGATTACAGGCGCGTGCCACCATGCCCAGCTAATTTTCGATTTTTTTTTTTTTTTTTTTTAGTAGAGACAGGGTTTCGCCATGTTGGCCAGGCTGGTCTTGAACCCCTGACCTCAGGTGATCTGCCCGCCTTGGCCTCCCAAAGTGCTGGGACTACAGGCGTGAGCCACCGCGCCTGGCCCCTGGTGCTCCATATCTAAGTTAGTGTTTACAAGAGGGTCTTAACTATTTTCAAAGGAATATGTTTTGGAAGACTTTTCCAATGGGAAAAGTACTGTATGGATGCCTTAAAGGGAAAAGCCAAGGATAGAAGAGGCAGCATGCTCCTCCTTTTCCAAATGGATATTTGCGTATATTCTCCTTGCCTTAGAATTTTCTTCTCTCCACACAGTTTCCCCCTCCTTCTTTCCTTTCTTTTTCCCCTCCCCTTCCCTCCCCTCCCCTCCCCTACCCTACCTTACTCTACCCTTCCCTTTCCTTCTCGTTCTTCCTCACCAAGAAAGGGTTAGATGTTACACAAGAAAAGAAACCAATTTAGAGAGCCCCATCTACATTAGAGGAGTTTAGGGTTCTCTGGACTGGGGAGCTAGAGTGCGTTAGAGAAGACTGAAGTCCCCAGTTTTTGAAACTAGTCATGGTATATCTCAGCATACGGCTTGCTCACGAAAAGATAAGCAATCTTTTAAGTCCTCAGTGGCTCCTACAAGAAACACAGGGAAAATTACAAAATAGGCAAAATTTGGTGACTCGTTTACCATCATATCTGCTGCTTTCCTTCTGCTCCTCCAAGGATTCACAATTGTTACTGCTATTCCCCTGTCCAAAGTCACCCATCTTTATTCCATCTTATCTTTCCCAAAGCACCACACCAAGGTACTTACTCCCTTCTTCCAATGTATTTCCATGTTAGTCAACATATTAGATAGAAAATGCAGGCCGAGTGTGGTGGCTCACGCCTGTAATCCCAGCACTTTAGGAGGTCAAGGCAGGTGGATCACCTGAGGTCAGGAGTTCGAGAGCAGCCTGGCCAACATGGTGAAACCCCATCTCTACTAAAATACAAAAATTAACCAGGTATGGTGGCACATGCCTGTAATCCCAGCTATTCAGGAAGCTGAGGCAGGAGAATCACTTTAAGCCAGGATGCAGAGGTTGTAGTGAGTGAGACCCAGGAAGGAAGGAAGGTAGGAAGGAAGGAAGGAAGGGAGGGAGGGAGGAAGGGAGGGAGGAAAGGGAGGGAGGGAAAAGAAAAGAGAAAGGAAGGAAAGAGAGAGGGAGAGAGGGAAGGAAGGAAGGGAAGGGAAGGAAGGAAATGCAGGAACATGTTCTAGCTAGCTTAAGCAGAAAAGGAATTTATTTATTCATTATTTATTTATTGAGACAGAGTCTCATTCTGTCACCCAGGTTGGAGTGCAGTGGCGTGATCTCGGCTCACTGCAACCTCTGCCTCCTGGGTTTGAATGATTCTCCCTCCTCAGCCTCCCGAGTAGCTGGGATTATAGGCACCCACCATCACACCCGGCTAATTTTTGTATTTTTAGTAGAAATGGGGTTTCACCATGTTTGCCAGGTTGGTCTTGAACTCCTGACCTCAAGCGATCTGCCCACCTCAGCCTCCCAAAGTGCTGGGATTACAGGCGTGAGCCACTGCATCTGGCCAGGAATTTATTAAACACCATTAAATAATTCACAGAATTTCCTGGGAGGTGTAAAAACCAGGGTTGTAAGAGGCCAAATTACGTCACAGAACACCGGGAAACCATTACTGCCTCCACTACTGACATTAATGTGAGATACGAACACTTCTAATAGAACCTCTGGTACTGTTCCCTGGGAATCTAGATGCACTTTCTAGTTCCACCTGCTTCTTCATCTCTCTAGCCTTCACTTCAAAGCCTGGTGCAAATGTATATGATTAGAGGAGCCTAACTGCAAGGGAGACTGAGAAAGTGAAATTTGGCTTCTATTCAGTAGAGAAATCATCAAATATAACAAGAATATTCAAAGGTGCTGGGCAGCCAAAAAGAATAACAAAGATGTACTACTCTACCCCAGTTAGCCTCTCAACTCCTACTGATCTGAGCCAGGTTTTCAGCAGATTGAAGTAATTCACTCCGAATTGTGGATGACTGATGGTTTCTCTCTTTTTTTTTGAGACGGAGTCTCACTCTGTCGCCCAGGCTGGAGTGCAGTGGCGCGATCTTGGCTCACTGCAACCTCCACCTCCTGGGTTCACGCCATTCTCCTGCCTCAGCCTCCCGAGTAGAAGGGATTACAAGTGCTCATTTTTTTGTATTTTTAGTAGAGACGGGGTTTCACCATGTTAGCCAGGATAGTCTCGATCTCCTGACCTCGTGATCCGCCTGCCTCGGCCTCCCAAAATGCTGGGATTACAGGCGTGAGCCACCACGCCTGGCCAAGGATGACTGATGGTTTCAACTCCACATGAACATCGATGCTTTAAAAGAGTAGCTTATTAACCCAAATAAACTCCCAGTTGTTAAAATATTTATATGGTGGAAAATACTTTTAAAATAAGGGAACATATAGTGTTTCTTTTATTTCTTCTTAAAAATGGGACCAGGTGCTGTGGCTCACGGCTGTGATCCCAGCACTTTGGGAGGCTGAAGTGGGAGGATCACTTGAGCTAGCCAGTTCTAGACCAGCCTGGGCAACATAGTGAGACCTCATCTCTACAAAAAAATCAAGAAAATTAGCTGGGCGTGATGGCACACATCTGTAGTCCCAGTAACTGAGGAGGCAGAGGCTGGAGGATCACTTGAGCCCAGGAGGTCAAGGCTGCAAGTGAGCTGAGATTGCGGCTGCACTCCAGCCTGGGTGACACAGTGAGACCCTGTCTCAAAAAAGTTTCTTTTTTTTTTTTTTTTGAGACGGAGTCTCATTCTGTCGCCCAGGCTGGAGTGCAATGGCGCCATCTTGGCTCACTGGAACCTCTGCCTCCAGGGTTCAAGCAATTCTCCTGCCTCAGCCTCCTGAGTAGCTGGGATTACAGGTGACACCACCAAGCTAATTTTTGTATTTTTAGTAGAGACGGGGTTTCACCATGTTGGTCAGGCTGATCTCTAACTCCTGACCTCGTGATCCACCCACCTTGGCCTCCCAAAGTGCTGGGATTATAGGCATGAGCCACCTAGCCCGGCCAACATTTCTTTAAAAAAAAAAAAAACAACTTTACTGAACTTTGATTAACATACAAAAAACTGCACATAATGTATACAACTGGATAAATCATTAATTCTTTATTAAATACACATTTTATTGAGCTTATAATGTGCCATACAGTAGATTCGGTATTGAGGAAACCTGGTCCATACCCTAAAAATTCAATAACCTCATAAGGGACAGAGAAAAGTTAATATATATAAAGCAACATAATAAATGCAGAAAACAGTGATATCTGTGTGGGCGTGTGTGTGTGTATACACAATTCATAAAGGGTCTTTTATATTATGCTTAAGAATGTGGACTCCTTGGTAGCTTATATTTGCATACTATCCACGCGCACTTTTTTCTCCTTTGTAAGAAATAGGCTCTGAACTCCATGGGGTGCAATAGAAGCAAGGAATCATTGATAGGAGGGCCAGCACTCCTCCAGAAGTATTCAGAACTGTAATCAAGAATCCTCAAACTGGGAGGGCCTGTGGTTACTTTATGAACTATGTGTCAGTCCTGCAAACCTCACAGCCTGAATTACCACTGAGCGTTATCTGAATACAGGCTGCCCTTGAAGTCCCTAATTTCATTGCGCTGACAGAGGCTTTAGTGAGTCTATAATTGGAAAAGGAAGCATTTGTGCCTCAGGTACAGGAAATCACCAAACAATTAACTTCCATGGACTCATGCAGCCTGGGCCAAATGCCTCAGTGTGCTTGTCTTTGTTTCATGTCAGGTTATTGAGGAAATGTTTCGCAGGCCAGAATCTTGGCTTTACTGTGTTGTTTTGTCAATGGAGTCAGCTGTGAGACCTTAAACAGTGATAACTATCTATAGTAAAATCTCAATATAGCACTCAGAGGTCTACCACAAGGAAGGGAGGTTTTCAGAGGGGGCAGAAAGTTTTATCTAAAATACATGTAATTTGGCTATTCAGAGGTGGGAAGGGCCACTTAGACGAGAGAAAAACTAGTGTGGTAAGAAAGGGAAAGGGAAACAGTTATTACATGTCATGGCCAGGGAAGGCAAACCCCTCAGAGGCAGGGAAGCTGGTGTTGGACACAAGGCCAGCCTTATGGGTAGGCAGAGACAGTTGAAGGGCACTAGAAAGATTTCCCTGACCCAGAAAATGCCTCAAAGGAAGTGACAGAAAAGGCCCCTGGAGGAAAAACAGAAAAACACAAAATGAAGTGATAGGACAGCAAGGATGAGCTTCCTTCCCCAAAGTCACAATATTTTCCAAGAAACCATTTTGGATAACTCATTTTGCTCATTGAAAAAACTGTATTCATACTATGGGCAATGTCACATATTAAGAAATTGGCGGCCGGGCGTGGTGGCTCATGCCTGTAATCTCAGCACTTTGGGAGGCCAAGGTCGGCAGATCACGAAGTCAGGAGATCGAGACCATCCTGGCTAATGCTAAAATACAAAATACAAAAATACAAAATACAAAAATACAAATACAAAAAAAAATACAAATACTAAAAATACAAAAAAATAGCCAGGCATGGTGGCGGGCGCCTGTAGTCCCAGCTACTTGGGAGGCTGAGGCAGGAGAATGGCATGAACCTGGGAGGCGGAGCTGGCAGTGAGCAAAGATCACGCCACTGTACTCCAGCCTGGGCGACAGAGTGAGACTCCATCTCAAAAAAAAAAAAAAAAAATTGGCATGTAATTATTACTATTACTGTTATTTTTAATGAAGAAGGCAATAGAAGCTAAGGGCACAGGTTTGAGATTAGACAGACCCGGGTACAAATCCTGGTTTTACCACATACTAACTGTGTGACTTTAGACAAGCTACTTAATTTCTCTGGTATCACTTTTGTCGTCTGAAAAATGGGAAGAATCATTCATTCCAAAATATTTGCTGAGCAGCTACTACATAAAAGGACAAATAAGATCCCTACCTTCCAGAAGCTTGTATGTTAGGAGTATGGAGGGAGAGAAAGACAATAAATAAGTAAATAAAAAGATGATTTTAGATTGTGATAAATACTGTAGAGGATATATAGTTTTCAGTGTGTGCACGCGAATTAGACTGCCTGGGTTCAAATCTCGGTTATGCTATTTACTAGCTGTGTGATCTTTGCAAGTGACTCAATCTCTGTACCTCGGTTTCCCCATTTGTAAATGGGCATATTAATAGCATCTAATTTATAACCTCATGGGATTATTATGAGGATTAAATGAATGCATCCATGTAAACTGCTTAGAACTGTGTACACCACATAGTAATTGCATAAGAGCTATATACTAATACTATGAAGAAAATAAATTGGAAGATATGATGATAAGTTGGGAGAGTGGTATTTAAGACAGGGTAGTCAGTGAAGGACTTCCTGAGGCTGTGATATTTAAGCTGACACTGAAAGAATGAGAAAGAGCCAGTCATTATTAGAGTATTTCAGGAAGAGGAAGACCTAAGTGCAAAGATCTAAGGCAGAAAGACTCTTCACATATTTGAAAAAGAGAAATGAGACCTGTGTGGTAAAACATAGTGAGCAAGAGAGAAAGCTGCATTGTAATTATTTTCTACTTCTGCATAACAAATTATAACAAATTGAACATCCTCTTACTAGCTCACAGTTCTATAAGTCAGAAGTCTAGGTGGGAATGAGTGTGGTGGCTCATGCTTTAATCTCAACAATTTGGAAGGCCAAGGTGGGAGGATCGCTTAAGCCCAGGAGTTTGAACCCAGCCTGGGCAACATGGTGCAACCCCAACTCCACAAAAAAAATTTTTTTTCTTAATTAGCCTGGCCTGGTGGTACACGCCTGTAGTCCCAGTTACTTCAGAGGCTGAGGTGGGACAATCACTTGAGCCCAGGAGGTTGAGGCTGCAGTGAGCCATGGTCATACCACTGTATTCTGGCCTGGACAACAGAGCAAGACCCTGTCTCAAAAAAAGAAAAAAAAAAGAATAAATCTAGTGGCTGGACCTGGTGGCTCATGCCTGTAATCCCAGCACTCTGGGAGACCAAGACAGGATTGCTTGAGCTCAGGAGTTCGAGATCAGTCTGAGCAACACAGTGAGACCCTGTCTCTACTAAAAACACACACAAAAAAATTAGCTGGGCATAGTGACACATGCCTGTGGTCCCAGCTACTCAAGGGGCTGAGACACGAGGATCACTTGAGACAGGAGGTTGAGGCTGCAGAGAGCCCTGATCATGCCACTGCAATCCAGCCTGGGTGACAGTGTGAGACTTTGTCAAAAAAAAAAAAAAAAGAAGAAGAAGAAGAAAAAAAAGAAGAAATCTAGGTGGGCTTGGTTGAGCTCTCTGCTTAGGGCTTCACGAGGCTGAAATCAATAATTTAGCCAGGCTGAGCTGTTATGATTCAGATTTACTATATGAGATAATAAATGAATAATGTTTTAAGCCTTTAATAAATGACTTACATTTTAAACCCCTCAGTTTGTGGTAATATTGTTACACAGCAATAGATAACTAATACAACTTAAGTGTAGGAAATATCACATTTCATTATTTTCTAGATTAAATTAAATCCCCCGAGTCCATTAGAGTGGATAATTTAATCAGTTATTTTTAGAATGCTCTAAGGCTTACATCATTCAGGAAAACCGATGTGGGGAAGAGTGTATACTGAGTCCTGAATCCACTGATTTGCTGGTAAAACACACATTGTCCAAATCTATATAGTCTATTCAAAGGTGGCTGCCTCTATTGAAGACAACAGCTACTCCCTCTGTGCCAGACTTGGCCATGGAGACCTTCATTCCAGAGGGAAGGCTGGAAGCTTAGTGCTCAGTCCCCAGGTACACACAAAGCCATGCCTATCAAAATTCCTGCTATTTCCAGGCCACCATGAGGAAGCAGAGTATAGATCCCCACAGCTGGAGGAGCTACCACTGCCCGTCTTCCTACTCTGGAAATCTTTCTCTGCTCCAGCTTCTTCTGTCTTAACGTCAGTCCAGCAAGTCTCCAAGACCCTAGATTTCAAAAGCAACATTCTCTTAACTAAGGAATCCTAGACCTTAACAAACAGAACACCAAGTACTAAGCTATTCTATCCTGCGAAAGGGAGGAAAAATGCTCTCTTATTTTTGGGATGATTCTATAGCAACTAGAAGTCATTTAATTTGCCACACAGTCAACCAGGGCAAAATGAAAACACATGTTCAATCACAAAGTGTTCATTACAGTGAAAGATTTCATTTCCTCAAGAAATGCAGGACTCCTCATAGCTCTAAGTGCTACAGGAGACTTTTCTTTCCTTGTTTTTTTTTTTTTTTTTTTTTTGAGATGGAGTCTCTCTCTTGTTGCACACGCTGAAGTGCAATGGTGCAATCTCTGCTCACTGCAACCTCCGCCTCCCGGGTTCAAGTGATTCTCCTGCCTCAGCCTCCTGAATACCTGGGAATAAGTAGAGACAGGTTTTGCCATGTTGGCCAGGCTGATCTTGAACTCCTGACCTCAAGTGATCCACCTGCCTCAGCCTCCCATAGTTCTGGGATTACAGGCGTGAGCCACCATGCCTGGCTTACAAGCTTTAAAAAAAAAATCTACCACTGCAGTCTTGGCTGTTAGCTTTCTGAGGTTCTTTTATTTTTTCCCATTGAAATGCACTGGACAACATTCCAAATTACCTACTAAACCAAATCCAAGTTCTTCCACCACAGAGATACGAATTTATTTTTACAGCAGTTAACAAAAAAAAATTCCCCCTTTTTTTTCTTTTGCCATTTTCTCTGATAATGCTGTATTATTCCTCCCACTCAACAGCCAAGAAAGACAACCCAACTACTTCCTCCTCCAACATACAGGAAAGAATAGAAACAATTCTATCAGCTCCAGCTGGGGCAGCACAAATGCCAGGAAGCTTTTCTTAGATTTTTGAATCCTACGTGACTCTCACTTTAGGTGCTTTCCAAAATTTTGGTTTCATTTTTCTTGAATTCTGTTCTGCAGAAACTCTCAATTGTCTAACACTGGTGGCATTTAGTAATCTTTGCCAAGTTTAATTCCAATCTAGTTGCTTGGAAGATTTCAGTGACCTAAGAAGAAGGTTTTGTAAACCTCCTTGTTTTGTGCAATGGGAATTTGTTCAGCAAGTAGGAGTCAGGATCCCTCCCTATCTCTCAGCAAAATAGGTTGTGTTATTTCCTTTTATTTCAAAATATACTGGGGTTTGTTTTAAGACAACTTTTGAGTCCCACTATTGCTAATGATCAGTTGTATGCTTTAGGCAAATTCACAAAACTTTCTAAACCTTGGTATCTTCATTTGTAATGTTAGGATAATTCCTTCTTTATACAGTTGTTGAAAAAGCTACTGGATTTAAATCCGGGTTTTATAATGAGCATAATGTGTGCTCATTAAATGGTAGACATTGGTTCTTCTTTATCTGATTTTTCCCAACTCTGGTTTACTGTCATTTATCTTAAGTAAAAATCTTGTAGCCACAAAGCAAGTAACCAGCTCCCCTGTCCAACATTAGTGTCAGAAAATGTTGGTGCCTCTGACAAATAGAAAATCTAATGAATAGGGTACTGTTTTAGGAAGAAGGAGATCTGGCTTTCCCCCTGGGCTTACTGCAACAAGTGACTTAACTTACAAAGCAACCATGAAAATGAGCATTGTGCCTCAAGAAATAAACCCTCTCACTCTTTTTCTTGGATGTGTGTTGCATTGCCATGGGATTGTTTTCAGCATTAGGAGGCTCTGCTACAAGTTCAGTTCAGGTCAGCAAACTTTTTTTTTCAGGGCTTCATCTGTATCAGGACTGTGCTTGTTATCAGATATAAAAACGAAGAAGGCAAAATTCCTGAGCTTTCATTCACTTGCTCAGTAAATGTTTATAGAGTGCCTACTAGGTAATAAAACTGTGAGTCTTGAGGAATCAAACAGAAAAAGTTACTGCCCTCGTGGACTTTATAATATAGAGAAGATTATAGACAGTGTTGCACTGATAAATGTTTAACAACAACCAGCTCTCCAAAAAGAAAAAAAAAAAAGAAAGAAAATCCAATTCTTTTCTTTTTCTTTCTTTTCTTTTTTTTTTTTTTTTTTTTGAAACAGAGTCTCACTCTGTCGCCCAGGCTGGAGGGCAGTGGCATGATCTTGGTTCACTGCAACCTCCGCCTCACGGGTTCAAGTGATTCTCCTGCCTCAGCCTCCTGAGTAGCTGGGATTACAGGTGCCCGCCACCAGGCCCAGCTAATTTTTGTATTTTTAGTAGAGACGGAGTTTCACCATGTTGGCCAGGCTGGTCTCGAACTCCTGACCTCGTGATCCGCCCACCTCGGCCTCCCAAAGTGCTGACATTACAGGCGTGAGCCACCGCACACGGCCATTCTTTTCTATCTGTTTGTGGCCTCTTTTTTTTTCTTTTTGGAAATGTTTAGGAACTTTTTTTGTCCCTAGTAAATAACATTTCCCATCTTTTGCTCTGGTGTGGGTATTTTAAAGTCTATTATGCTGAGCACAGCATGCTGTTTTACTCTAGAAAGTCAATACAGTTGTGGAAAATTTTCCTGCATTTGATTATCACCTCCCCTCTGTTTTCTCTATTCTTTCTTTCTGAAATTCTTATTATTTAGATGCTGAAGTAAGTATTTTTCTTATCTTTTCTATTTTCTGTCTCTTTTTCATTTTCTTTTCTTTTCTTTTCTTTTTTTTTTTGAGACAAAGTCTCATTCTGTCACCCAGACTAGAGTGCAGTGGCGCAATCTCGGCTCACTACAACCTCTGCCTCCCAGGTTCAAGCTATTCTCATGCCTCAGCCTCCTGAGTAGCTGGGATTACAGGCACGCGCCACCTCTCCCGGCTTATTTTTGTATTTTTGGTAGAGACACGGTTTCACCGTGCTAGCCAGGCTGGTCTCAAACTCCTGACCTCAGGTGATCCACCTGCCTCGGCCTCCCAAAGTACTGGGATTACAAGCGTGAGCCACTGTGCCCGGCTTTCATTTTCATTTTTATATTTTGGCTCTACTTTCTCAGAGATTTCCTCCAATTTTATTTTCTAATTCCCCCCATTCCTGAGCTTTTGGGGTGATTCACAGCATGAATCAGCTTGTTATTACCCTCCTCCTCTTCAAGTTTAGATCTGAATTTTCTCTAGATGGGAATATTTGTTCTCACTTATTCCCCTGCTTCCATTCTTCAAATTTTGTTATGTTGTCTCCTCTCCCTTTCTGTTGGTCATTTTTGGCTTATACCTTTTTTGAGGTCACATTACTGGGATTTCAGGAAGAACCAGTGGTGAAGGCACATTTTTAATCTACCATGCATAATAAGGTCCTTTATTTCTTGCCATTTTCATTCCTACTATAACAGTCATACTTCTCAAGGCAGCATAGATACCTCTGAGTTACAGGCAAAAGATCAAGTGCAAGAAAGTGATGTAGGACAGGCAAGCACCAAAGTGGAGCTTAGCCAGAGAGGGTTCTTGGCCTTGCCCAGAAAAGAATTCAAGGGTAATCCAGAGAAAGAAGAAAACAGCTTTGTTGAACAGTCAGTGTTACAGCTCGGTGACTGCTCCCGCAGAACAGGGCTTAGAGTAGCAGCTCGGGGTAGTTTTGCAGTCATATTTATACCCACTTTTAATTGTATGCAGATTAAGGGGCAGTTTATGCAGAAAAGGGGTAGTAACTGTTGAATGGTTAGGTACCATGGAAAGGGGTGATAACAACCCTGGTGTTGCCATGGCAACGGTAAATTGACATGGCACACTGGTGGGTGGGTCTGATTGAAAACTGCTTTCTCCTTGGCAACACCAGGGAGAAAGTGTGAAAAAGTGTCTTGGCTAGTCCTCAGTCTAGTCCAGTATCCAAGTCCCACCCCTAGAATCAAGTCCCGCCTCCTACCTTAAAAGTACAGAGGAGAAAAAGCACAAATATTAATATTTCAAGATATTATAACATTTCCAACAGTGCTGGAGCCAGCTCATACTGGCTCATAAGAATAGATGGCTTATATTCAGGAATTTTATGAGACAGTGGTTAACCATTATTAAAAATTAAATAAACAGAATATTTATTATAACATAATGAAATAAATTATATTAAAAACAGACAATACTCAAAACTTATCACTTCCTAATTATTGTAGTGAATCCTACTATTATCTATCTTCTTGAGGTTCTTTACATCTATCGTGTCTGTATCACAGAAATATTATATAATGGTGTTCCATATATTTATTTATAAATAAATAAATTAAATAAAACAAAACCAGGTATTATTCCGGCTGTCAAAAAACATTTGCCTCTAAACTTTCTTTTTTTTTTTTTGAGACAGAGTCTCGCTCTGTCACCTAGGCTGGAGTGCAGTGGCACGATCTCGGCTCACTGCAACCTCTGCCTCCCAGGTTCAAGCGATTCTCCTGCCTCAGCCTCCCCAGTAGCTGGGATCACAGGCGCATGCCATCACGCCCAGCTAATTTTTTGTATTTTTAGTAGAAATGGGGTTTCACCGTGTTAGCCAGGATGGCCTCCATCTCCTAACCTTGTGATCTGCCCGCCTTGGGCTCCCAAAGTGCTGGGATTACAGGTGTAAGCCACTGCGCCCAGCCTGCCTCTAAACTTTCAACCTATGCATGCCAAGGTTCAAAACCCTTCTGAAACAATTGATTATTGTTCTACATCCTTCACTAAACCCTTCCACACCACATCCATCCGAGCTGGGCTTAATGCCCCTCCTACACATTCTTAGCATATCATTCCTACCTACCACCTTTGTGTTAAAATGATCTGCTTATCGGCTTCTCTTTGGCTAAAGCTAAACTGTAAGCTTCTGTATGGAAAGCCTCCACAAACCCCAGATGAGACTGAATTTCCCTATTATAATTGTCCACAATTCCCTATAGTTTGGCTTTATAATACTTATGCGTGTGATTATATTTGTAACAGGAATAGCAATTAACGCTCTCTAGTCTTACATACCCATTAAGGCTGAGGCTTTCTTTCACACCCCTCAGTTTCCTCACAGCATTCCTTTTATTTTCAAAAGATTGCTTGAAAAAAAATGTTGAATGTTTCTTCCTCTTTTATTTAAAACAATAGTTTATATTTGTACAGAGTTTTTAAAGTTACATAATTCTATGAAGCTTATAATGAAAAAAGCAGTACACTGTTTCTCCTTTTCTACCCCCAATCCCCAGTACTCAAAGGCAACATTTAAAAGATTTTATTAGTTGTTTCTTCTCATACTTGCCTCTGTCTTCCTAAATAACATTCTTGTATTGCTGCTATTTGGAGATTGTTCAGTTTCATATATTTTGGCTTCCTGCTATGGAAGATGAAGATTAAGCTCTCTTATAATGCTCCCAACACCACACCCCATCACAAACACATTCACATACATTCTTTTCCTCCTCCATTTCTCCCTATATAATTACATCATTGCACAACTTTTGGTTAATTCAACATGACCATACATTGTACAATGACTACATTTCCTCTTTTATACAATATGTTTTGGTTTTCCCGGAATTAATAATTGCCTATATTGTTTGCTTACTTTTCTATGTACCTATAACTAATTCATCCTCAAACATTCCTCGAGAATTATAAATTTCCTTTCATAATGTTAAAATACATTGGTTGTTTCTTATTTTCATTCATTTTGTGACAACATCCTTCTTGGAGGTCTCTGTTAACCCTGCCCCCAACGTGAACAGATTGCTTTCTAGAAATGTTTTGCAGGTGTCACTCTAGGATCTCCTGCATGCTCCTCCTGAGGAGTCAGTTCTCCTGCTTCTGTTGGAGTCCCTATTTTCTGGATCCTCTTTCTTTTATGTTTGGCCTTCTTGCTTTGTGCTTCCATTCTCCAGTAATTCCCAAGAAAGAGTACATGTTGGGTATAATTTTAAGAACACAGACATCTGTAAATGTCTTTCTTCTACACTTGAATTAAAGCTTGGCTACATTTAGAATTCTAGGTTGAAACCATTTTCCTTGGAATACTGAAGATATTGCTCCATTGTCTTCTCACCTGAAACATTGCAAACTGATGGTGTGTGAAAGAAAGCCTCAGCCTTAATGGGTATGTAAGACTAGAGAGCATTAATTGCCATTCCTGTTACAAATATGATCACACGCGTAAGTATTATAAAGCCAAACTATAGGGAATTGTGGACAATTGTAATAGGGGAATTCAGTCTCATCTGGGGTTTGTGGAGGCTTTCCATACAGAAGCTTACAGTTTAGCCAGAGAAGCCGATAAGCAGATCATTTTAATGCAAAGGTGGTAGGTAGGAATGATATGCTAAGAACGCGTAGGAGGGGCATTGAAAGCGCAGCCCGGATGGATGTGGTGTGGAAGGGGTTAGTGAAGGATACAGAACAATAATCAATTGTTTCAGAGAGGTTTTGAACCTTGACATGCTAGGTTGAAAGTTTTGAGACAAATGTTTTTGACTGTCAAAATAATATCTGAGTTTGCATTATTTTATTTTATTTATTTTTGAGACGGAGTTTTGCTCTTGGTCTCCTAGGCTGGAGTGCTATGGCGCGATCTCGGCTCACTGCAACCTCTGCCTCCCGGGTTCAAGAAATTCTCATGCCTCAGCCTCCCGAGAAGCTGTGATTACAGGGACCTGCAACCATGCCTGGCTAATTTTTTCGTATTTTTAATAGAGACAAGGTTTCATCGTCTTGGCCAGGCTGGTCTTGAACTCCTGACCTCAGGTGATCCACCCACCTCAGCCTCCCAAAGTGCTGGGATTACAGGCGTGAGCCACCACGCCCAGCCTTATTTATTTGTTTTTGAGACAGGATCTTGTTCTGTCACCCAGGTTGGAATGCAGTGGTATCTTGGCTTCCTGCAGCTTCTGCCTCCTAGGCTCAAGGGATCCTCCCACCTCAGCCTTCTGAGTAGCTGGGACCACAAGTACTTGCCACCATGACCAGCTACTTTTTTAAATTTTTTTTAGCAACGAGGTCTCACTTTGTTACCCAGGCTGGTCTCAAACTCCTGGGCTCAAGCTATCCAGCTGCCTTGACCTCCCAAAATGCTGGGATTACAGGCATGAACCACCATGCCTGGTGGTTTTAATATTTTAATAATCTCTTTATAGATTTGGTAAAGAGAGGGGAAAATAGGCCAAATAATAGCAATTTTTTGTTTGTTTGTTTTTTGAGAGGGAGTCTAACTTTGTCACCCAGGCTAGAGTGCAGTGGTGCCATCTCTGCTCACTGCAACCTCTGCCTCCCAGGTTCAACTGATTCTCCTGCCTCAGCCTCCTGAGTAGCTGGATTACAGGCACCTGCCACCACGCCTGGCTAATTTTTGAATTTTTAGTAGAGACGGGGTTTCACCATGTTGGTCAGGCTGGTCTCGAACTCCTTACCTCAAGTGATCCCCTGCCTCGGCCTCCCAGAGTGCTGGCCTGGGATTACAGGTGTGAGCCACCGCTCCCGGCCTAATAGTAATGTTTTAAAATAACAGGTGTGGAAAAATCTCTATTTACTCAGGCCTGAGAATATTTCTTGCAAGTCATATTCCCTTTTTTTTGCCTTAGAGATATAAGAAATTAGGAGAAATCAGGGGGTATCAAATACCCTCATACTCTTTTCCTAGGAAAAAAAAATTTAAAGAATGTATTGCAACTTTGCTCACTTATATTTCTTTCAATGGGAATATTGTTCATCAATAAATGCTCGGTGCTTTAAATTTGCAATTACCATATTTGCAGAAACTTGAAAAATCATCCCAATTAAATGACAAAATGTATAGGAGGATTATCTTTCTTTTGCCCTTACAACTCAAATTATATTCGAAGTAACATTTTTACAGCAGTCAAAACTTTTAACCAAAAATTCACACCTGCAGTCTCATAAGTTTAACAAAATGGCCACATTCCACGCTTTATTTTCTTAACAACCCTGACTGTTTAAATGACTCCCATTGAACCAACAGCTTACAGTTGCTGGGCAATAAAAAAGCGAGCAAAAGGACCTCCAGCCCTGCTGTTTTAGCTATTACCCAGCACTCTCAGAGTTTGCTCTAGTCTGGCTGTTCAATCAAATTCATTTTCCAGTAGCTTCTGGCCTTTGTCTCCTCTTTCTGGCCACGCATTTCATTGCCTCCTGAATTTGATGACAACATTTTCTTTCTTCACTTTGAATCTTGGCCCAGAATCTCACTCTCCCAGCCCCATGGAAAGATGGGGAAAAGATTTCATTCTGCTGATCAAATTTGTTAGAAGACATTCTTTAGAGTCTGAAAAAATATATTTCATTAGCAGTTCTCTAGGTAGTGGAATTTTTAGTGATGTTTACTCTTTTTTCCTTGTTCTAATTTTCCTCTAATAAACAGAAAAAAAGCAAGAGTAACCCACCAAATTTGGATAAAGGGCTTCTGCTTTTCATATTCTCTTAACCAGAACAGCTTAACTTTTCTCCATTTATTTATTTAAGTATTTATTCATATTTGAAACAGGCTGGGGTGCAGTGGCATGATCTCAGCTCACTGCAACCTCCACCTCTCGGGTACAAGTGATTCTCCTGCCTTGGCCTCCCAAAGTGCTGGGATTATAGGCGTGAGCCACCGCACCTGGCCTTAATTTGATTTTTATTATCCACAACACTCATATCTCTTTTTGATCCTACTGTAATATCACATTATCCTACCTAAAGATGAATTGTTCCAACCCTGATGCTTTGGTAATCATCTTTTCTAAATTAAAAATTGAGGCCAGGTGCAGTGGCTCAGGCCTGTAATCCCAACACTTTGGGAGGACGAGGCAGGTGGATCGCTTGAGATCAGGAGTGAGAGACCAGCTTGGCCAACATGGTGAAACCCCATCTCTACTAAAAATGCAGAAAAATTAGCTGGGCATGGTGGTGCATGCCTGTAATCCTAGCTACTTGGGAAGCTGAGGCACGAGAATCTCTTGAACCCGGGAAGGAGAGATTGCAGTGAGCCAAGATCATGCCACTGCACTCCAGCCTGGGTGACAGAACGAGACCCTGTCTCAAAAAAAGAAAAAAAAAAAAGAGAGAGAGAGATTTGTAATCTAGCAAAATATGTTATTTACTTATTTTCTTTCCAACTTTTAGTGTGGGCCCAAGCGGGTACCTGTGCAGGTTTGTTTCACGAGTAAATTGTGTGTCATGGGGGTTTGTTTTACAGATGATTTTGTTACTGAGATAATCAGCATAATATGTGATATGTAGTTTTTTAATCCTTACCCTCCTCTTATCTCCACCCTCAGGTAGGCCCCAGTGTCTGTTGTTCCCTTCTTTGTGTCCATGTGTACTCAATGTTTAGCTCCCACTTATAAGTGAGAATATGCAGTATTTGGTTTTCTGTTCCTGCATTAATTTATTTAGAGATCTTTTATTTAAATACATGAATTCATTTTCAGGAAAAGCCTTCCAGAGATATAAAAGTCAAAATCCAATAAAAGAATGACCTTTGTTATGGAAAAACAAAGAAAGAAAGAAATCAGGTCTTTTTTGGAAAATCTGGGACATTGAATTGTTACACGTAACATGTGTCCCCCTAGGGACATAGGTCACTTTCAGTATTTGCCAAAGCATTAGGTCAGCCAGACATGTGAAACATCTCGGAGCTTAATAACTGAGCTGCTTCAATGTGTTTTGATAAAAGTTTAAATTCTCTGGCCCCAATTTATTGAACACATGCCTTTGACAATACAGCATTTCTTTCTTAGGCTATTAGTGAAAGATTAACCATCTACTCAGTGATTGTTATTGTGCCTGTATGTGTGCAGTATGAACAGTTATGTAACAAAACTGCAAAGATTAGAGACCTTTAAAAGGATCTGGGGAAATAGGAAGAGTCTATAATCTTATAGGAAAGGAATGAATTATGCAAGCAACTAAAAGTGTGTCAATATTCTCTGCTTCACAAACAAATTGGAAACCAGTGGTAAACTTTAGATCAGAAACAGAAACTCAAAAAATGAAAGAACTGGCCATGAGCAGTGGCTCAGGCCTGTAATCCCAGCACTTTGGGAGGTCGAGGCAGGCGGATCACCTGAGGTCGGGAGTTTGAGACCAGCCTGACCAACATGGAGAAACCCTATCTTTACTAAAAATACAAAAAATTAGACAGGCATGATGGCAGATGCCTGTAATCCCAGCTACTTGGGAGGCTGAGGCAGGAGAATCACATGAACCCAGGAGGTGGAGGTTGTGGTGAGCCTATATTGCGCCATTGCACTTCAGCCTGGGCAACAAGAGCAAAACTCTGTCTCAAAAAAAGAAAAAAGAAAAAGAAAAGAAGAAAAAGAAAGAACCTAGAAACTTAGAGGCCAACTAAGGAGACAGGCATTTTTATAAAAAGAGTTGAAAGAAATTTGTGGTAGAATAACAGAAAATACAGACAAGTTAAAAGAAAAAAGAATAAAAGCCACTAAAATGTCATGTTAAGTATTTTAGTAGACAAATTTATCATAATTTGCACAAAAATTTTCTGGTTTGTTTCTGATTTTTTAGTTTTATAATTAAAATACTTATAATTAAAATGATAAATATTCTTATAACTAAAGTCTCTGGAATCCTTCATTAGCCCCTGAAGATAAACTCTGAGAAGTGGAATTGTAGGGTATATTGATTAAGATTCTTTGGTTGCAAATGACAGAAACCCAACTGGAACTGGCTTAAGGAAAAAAGACTTGATTGACTCGCATTTATTCAATGATTTTTTTTTTTAACTATTAGAGTTTTTATTCATTTGAAACTATGGATACATTTACTTCCCAAATCAGAGCACAGGTCTGGCCAAAATAAACTATTATGAATGTTGAAGGCTTTTTTAGAGCTTTCACCTCAGATCATTCCTCATACACACACACTGATCGATACTTAGCTAAACAAGGAAGGGAGACCCTCTACAGATCTCTGGAGCTCTCCTATGCAGCAGTCTTCTCCCAGGTCCATTTCCTCAACTCACAGACTGTGAGGCTCCACTTGGACTCCTCCTCTTTGCAATATAATATGGAATCTCTCTAGGCAGGAAAGTGGGGTGATCACTCGCTCTCTCTCTAGGGATCATTGTCCTCCACCTCCTGATAGCCAATGTCTGAAAACCATTGTGTCATGTATTTGGTCTATTTTTAAAAATTGTTTCAGATGGGAGAGTAAATCTGGCCCTTGTCACTCCATCATGGCCCAAAGTGAAGTCTCTATCTCAACAATTATTTCTGGATGGCCTCTTATGTGCTAGGCCCTTGGCATCCCTGCTTTTGTGGAGCATGTGATCAAACTGCAGAAATATCAGAAGTAGAGCTGGCTCCAGGGACATCTGGATCCAGGAATATAAATGCTACCAGATTTCATGGTTTCTGTCTCTCTCTCTCTCTCTCTCTCTCTCTCTCTTACTTTCTTTCTCTCTCTCTCACCCTCTCTCCCCCTTTACATATCTGTGTCTCTGCATCTTTCTGCACGCTGATGTTAATCAAAACGTCTAAGATGAGCTGAATTAGTGAAGAGTACACAGCCAAAGCAACTTGGAATTGAATTCTTTCAAGCTTAGTCATTTTCAAGCTTAGTCATTTTAGGAGAGAGGGAATTTCTTTTCCTCAGCTTCAGTTTAAAAACTTTCTAGAAAGGAAACATAAGCCCACCCCTTGGACATATCATTGCACCTAGGGAAGTGAGTAACTTAAAGTGACCCAGGCTGGATCCTGCCTATTTTTGTGGCCAGGGATCTGGAATCTCTTAGCAGAAAAAGCCACAGGGGAATCATCAGCTGAGCAGCCATTCCCGTTTGTGTCTTCAATTCTGGGTATACTAATTTGTGACACTTAAAAAAAAACTACTTTGAAGTAATTTCTAACTTCAACACATTGACCAATAGTTTGTATTAAGGGTCAGATGTTTGCCTAGCGTAGTATTAATATATAAATACACTAAGATAGAAGTAACCTTAATATTTGAATGAATATGGTACAGATAAGCAGTAAATTATGGAATTAAACATGTGAGGGCCCAAAAGAACAAGAGCGAACTCTAACGGGTAAAAGAACCATTTTTTTTTTTTTTTGAGACGGAGTCTCGCTCTGTCACCCAGGCTGGAGTGCAGTGGCACGATCTCCGCTCACTGCAAGCTCCGCGTCCTGTGTTCACGCCATTCTCCTGCCTCAGCCTCCCGAGTAGCTGGGACTACAGGCACCCGCCACCACGCCTAGCTAATTTTTTGTATTTTTAGTAGAGACGGGGTTTCACCGTGTTAGCCAGGATGGTCTCGATCTCCTGACCTCGTGATCTGCCTGCCTCGGCCTCCCAAAGTGCTGGGATTACAGGTGTGAGCCACCACGCCCAGCCAAAGGAACCATTTATACATTTAGTTTAGAAAACCCCAAAAAGAGCTGGGCATGGTGGCCCAGCAGTTTGGGAAGCTGAGGCAGGCAGGTCACCTGAGGTCAGGAGTTCGAGACCAGCCTGACCAGTATGACGAAACCCTGTCTCTACTAAAAAAAAATTAGCCAGGCATGGTGGCGGGCGCCTGTAGTCCCAGCTACTTGGGAGGCTGAGACAGGAGAATTGCTTGAACCCGGGAGGCAGAGGTTGCAGTGAGCCAAGATTGTACCACTGCACTCCAGCCTGGGCGACAGAGCGAGACTCTGTCTCAAAAACAAACAAACAAGCAAACAAACAACCCAAAAAGAAACCTATGGTAAGCTTTTCTTTATTTTTTCCCTTTGATTTTTGTTTGCTTGTTTGTTTTTACTTGTTTATGGTAAGATTTTCTTATTCAGGGACTCAGGACCAATAAATTATTTAAACATTTAGGCTAACTCTGTCACAGCTTGGGCAAGAGAAAACTTTAATCCTGAAGCCATTTTTAACAATTCCCCTCATTTTTTAATATTTCTCACCCAGTTATCAAGTCATGTCCATTCCACCTCTTAAGCATCACATGAATTTGTCCACTTCTTTCAGCTTTCACTGACCTCTCCTTGTCCAGACCATTCTCATCTTTTCATTTGTATTACTGCAAAAGAATTCTAACTGGCTCCCTGACTCAAGTCTTGCTCCCTATGCGTTTGCTGCCCAGCATCTATTTCTGCTTCTCTTGGTAGCAGTACTCAAAATTTCCTTTGGAGAAACACCACTTTCCCATTCTCAACCATCTAATTTGGGTGAGATTTAACCTCATCCTCAGTTCCAAGAGTGGATTCTGGTTAGCTTGGCTACCTAGTGAATTCCTATTGATTTCCACTGAATTAGTAAATTCACTAACTCACTTAGTGAATTTATCTATTCCCTTCACAATCCTTATTATTTTAGGCCAATGAGATCCCATAAAATGTTTGTTGGGGGCTTCTGGGAGGAAGTTTCTCCCTCTGAGAGAGGCATGAACAAAGAAATATGGAAAGCTGCTGCACCCATCTTGGGATCAAGAGGGTAGCCAACCTTAAGATGAAGTAGACCATGCAAAAGTCAAACAAGAGAAATGGAAAGACATCATGACATTGTTCATTCTACCTCTGAGCTTATAGTTATATAACGCAAGAAACTCAATTGTTGAAGCCACTTTCAGTTAGGTTTTTTTTTTATAATTTATAACCAAAAGCATCCTAACTATACTCTCTTTCAAATCATTTTCCATTCTGAATTCAAAACTGATCATGTCACTTCCACTTCCAAGAGAGGCAGATAGCAAATTGCTAGACTATGATGGAGAGTCCAGAGAAATACCTTATAATATCATGAAGATAATGGCACCTGTAAAGCATTTAGAACAGTACTTGTCACATCGGTAAGTAAGCAGTTAGAATAAGGCACGGCATTCAATAAACACTCGATCAAATCTTATTCTCAGTTTTAAACATTACAAAGACTTGCCTGTGCCCTTAAGGTAAAGTCTGAAAAAACCCTGGCCTATAACTCTGACTCCCTTCATGGTGACAAGATGGCTGGCAAGAGTTTGTAGGACCTTTCCTAAACCTGGCGTTTGTCTGCCACTTTAGACTCTCACTTTGCTATTTCTTTACTTTGTATTCTCTTTTTTTTCTTTTTTCTTTTTTTGAGACGGAGTTTCACTCTTGTCACCCAGGCTGAAGTGCAATGGCACGATCTCAGCTCACTGCAACCTCTGCCACCCAGGTTCAAGCAATTCTCCTGCCTCAGCCTCCCAAGTAGCTGGGATTACAGGTGCCTGCCACCATGCCCAGCTAATTTTTGTATTTGTTTTTAGCAGAGATGGGGTTTTACCATGTTGGCCAGGCTGATCTCAAACTCCTGACCTCAGGTGATCTGCCTGTCTCAGCCTCCCAAGTGCTGGGATACAGGCATGAGCCACTGCACCCGGCCTTCTTTACTTTGTATTCTGTTTCTTTTTCTCTTTATGGAGCTAACTTCTATTTTTCCTTTGGTTAAAATATCGCTTTCTCAAGGACAATTTCCCTAATTTCACAATTTAGGTTATCCTCTCCTGCTATACAGTCCCATAATTACCTTTTGTAATACAAAAGATGTTACAATGTGATACCTTGCATTTGTAATTATTTGCTTAGAATCTGCCTTCCTTTTTTAGAATATACACTCCCTGGGGGGCTGGGCTTCCTATCATACTTGCAGCTATATTCCCAGAGTCCAGTATAGGGTCTGGGACCAAATGAATAAAAGATCAAGAATGAACATGGAGTTCAGAATCACAGTGGAAGCAAAAAGTATATTTTAAGAAGGAATGAGTATTCTACCAAGCCTAGCTTAAATGTCAACCTAGAGCTACCTGATGTTAAACAATCTAAGTAATCAGCCTGGGCAAGACGGCAAGCCCTAATCTCTACAAAATTGTTTTTAAAAAAATGGCAAAGGAGACTGTGGGATCATGGCGGATGGCAGGCAGGACTAGATTGTAGCTCCAGACAGAGCAGCATGCAGAGGCTTGCACTGTGAATTTTAGCTCCAGATTGACTGCAAGAACAAACCAGCAATCCTGAGAGGACCCACAGACCCTCTAAAAGAAGCAGACTGCTGCTGCAGGACCTGGGAGACACCCCAAATACTGTGAATGCCTCAACTGCAGAAGTGGGAAAGGGAGACCCTCCTCTCCTGAACACACACCCCCACTGGAAAAGCTGAAGGTCTGTTCGTGGGAGAATTTTCTGCCCTATCTTCAGCCTCCTCAAACAAAACAATTATCAGCCATGAATTTTGTATCCAGTGAAACTAAGCATCATATATGAGGAAAGATACCGTCATTTTCAGACAAACAAATGCTGAGAGAGTTCACCATTACCAAGCCACTCCTACAAGAACTGCTAAAAGGAGCTCTAAATTTTGAAACAAATCCTGGAAACACATCAAAACAGAACCTCTTTAAAGCATAAATCACACAGGACCTATAAAACAAAAATACAAGTTAAAAAGCAAAAACAAGAAACAAAACCAAAGTACACAGGCAACAAAGAGCATGATGAATGCAACAGTACTTCACATTTCAATGCTAACATTGACTGTAAATGGCCTAAATGCTCCACTTAAAAGATGCAGAACTACAGAATGGAAAAGAACTCACCAACCAACTATCTGCTGCCTTCAGGAGACTCACCTAACACATAAGGACTCACATAAAGTAAAGGGGTGGAAAAAGGCATTCGTGCAAATGGATACCAAAAATGAGCAGAGGTAGGTATTCATATATCAGACAAAACAAACTTTAAAGCAACTACAGTTAAAAGAGATAAAGAAGAACATTATATAATGGTAAAAGGCCTTGTCCAACAGGAAAATATCACAATCCTAAACATATATGCACCTAACACTGGCACTCCCAAAATTATAAAACAATTACTAATAGACCCAAGAAATGAGATAGACAGCAACTCAATAATAGTGGGGGACTTCAGTACTCCACTGACAGCACTAGACAGGTCATCAAGACATAAAGTCAACAAAGAAACAATGGATTTAAACTATACCTTGGAACAATGGACTTAACAGACATATACAGAACATTTCATCCAACAACCACAGAATACACATTCTATTCAACAGCACATAGAACTTTCTCAAAGATAGACCACATGATAGGCGTCAATACATTTAAGAAAATTGAAATTATATCAAGCACTCTCTCAGACCACAGTGGAATAAAACTGGAGATCAACTCCAAAAGGAATCTTCTATACCATGCAAATACGTGGAAATTAAATAACCTGCTCCTGAATGAGCATTGGGTCAAAAATGAAATCAATATGAAAATTAAAAAATTCTTCAAACTAAACAACAATAATGATACAACCTATCAAAACCTCTGGGATCCAGCTAAGGTGGTGTTAAGAGGAAAGTTCATAGCCCTAAATGCCTACATCAAAAAATCTGAAAGAGCACAAACAGACGGTCTAAGGTCACACCTCAAGGAAGAAGAGAAACAAAAACAAACCAAACCCAAACCCAGCAGAAAAAAGGAAATAGCCAAGATCGGAGCAGAACTAAATGAAATTGAAACAACAACAACAACAAAAACCAAAAGATAAATGAAACAGAAAGTTGGTTCTTTGAAAAGACAAATAAAATTGATAGACCATTAGCAACATTAACTAAGAAAAGAAGAGAGAAAATCCAAATAACCTCACTAAGAAACAAAACAGGAGATATTACAACTGACACCGCTGAAATACAAAAGATCATTCAAAACTTCTATGAACACCTTTACACACATACACTAGAAAACCTAGAAGAGATGGATAAATTACTGGAAAAAGATAACCCTCCTAGCTTAAATCAGGAAGAATTAGATACTCTGAACAGACCAATAACAAGCAGCGAGATTGAAATGGTAATTTAAAAATTACCAACAACAAAAGTCCAGGACCAGACGGTTTCACAGCAGAATTCTACCAGATATTCAAAGAAAAAATGGTACCAATCCTTTTGACATTATTCCACAAGACAGGGAAAGAAGGAACCCTTCCTAATTCATTCTATGAAGCCAGCATCACCCTAATACCAAAACCAGGAAAGGATACAACCAAAAAAGAAAATTACAGACCAATTTCCTTAATGAACATAGATGCTAAAATCCTTAACAAAATTCTAGCTAACCGAATCCAACAATATATCAAAAAGATAATCCACCATGATCAAGTGGATTTCATACCAGGGATGCAGGGATGGTTTAACATACATGAGTCAATAAATGTGATACACCACATAAACAGAAGTAAAAACAAAAATCACATGATCATCTCAATAGATGCAGAAAAAGCATTCAACAAAATCCAGCATCGCTTTATAATTAAAACTCTCAGCAAAATTGGCATACAGGGGACATAACTTAATGTAATAAAAGCCATCTATGACAAACCCACAGCCAACATAATAATGAATGGGCAAAGTTGAAAACATTCCCTTTGAGAACGGGAACAAGACAAGGATGCCCATTCTCACCACTCCTCTTCAACATAGTACTGGAAGTCCTAGCCAGAGCAGTCAGACAAGAGAAAGAATAAAGGGCACCCAAATCAGTGAAAAGGAAGTCAAACTGTCACTGTTTGCTGATGATATGATGGTTTACCTTGAGAACCCTAAGGACTCCTCCAGAAAGCTCCTAGAACTGATACAAGAATTCAGCAGTTTCCAGATACAAGATTAATATTCACAAATCAGTAGCTCTTCTATACACCAACAGCGACCAAGCTGAGAATCAAATCGAGAAATCAACCCGTTTTACAATAGCTGCAAAAAAACAAAAAACAAAAAACAACAACGAAAAAAAACTTAGGAATATACCTAATAAAGGAGTTGAAAGACCTCTACAAGGAAAACTACAAAACACTGTTGAAATAAATCGTAGACAACACAAACAAATGGAAACACATCCCATGCTCATGGATGGGTAGAATCAGTATTGTCAAAATGACCATACTGCCAAATGCAATCTACAAATTCAACACAATCCCCATCAAAATACCAACATCATTCTTCACAGAGTTAGAAAAAAAATTCTAAAATTCATATGGAACCAAAAAAGAGCCCCCATAGCCATAGCAAGACTAAGCAAAAGGAGCAAATCTGGAGGCATCACACTACCTGATTTCAAACTATAATATAAGGTCATTGTCACCAAAACAGCATGGTACTGGTATAAAAATAAGCACGTAGACCAATGGAACAGAATAGAGAACCCAGAAATAAACCCAAATACTTACAGCCAACTGATATTCAACAAAGCAAACAAAATCATAAAGTGGGGAAAGAACACCCTTTTCAACAAATGGTGCTGGGATAATTGGCTAGCCACATGTAGGAGAATGAAACTGCATCCTCATCTCTCACTTTATACAAAAGTCAACTCAAGATGGATTAAGGACTTAAACCTAAGACGTGAAACTATAATAATTCTACAAGATACCATTGGAAAAACCCTTCTAGATATTGGCTTAGGCAAGGATTTCATGACCAAGAACCCAAAAGCAAACGCAATAAAAACAAAGATAAATAGCTGGGACCTAATTAATCCAAAGAGATTTGCATGGCAAAAGGAACAGTCAGCAGAGTAAACAGACAACCCACAGAGTGGGAGAAAATCTTCACAATCTATACCTGACAAAGGACTAATATCCAGAATCTACAATGAACTCAAACAAATCAGTAAGAAAAAAACAATCCCATCAAAAAGTGGACTAAGAACTTGAATAGACAGTTCTCAAAAGAAGATATACAAATGGCCAACAAACATATGAAAAAATGCTCACCATCACTAATGATCAGGGAAATCCAAATCAAAACCACAATGCGGTACTGCCTCACTCTTGCAAGAATGTCCATAATCAAAAAAATTAAAAAATAGTAGATGTTGGCATGGATGCTGTGAACAGGGAACACTTCTACACTGCTTGTAGGAATGTAAACTAGTACAGCCACTATAGAAAACAGTGTGGAAATTCCTTAAAGAACTAAAAGTAGAACTACCATTTGATCCAGCAATCCCACTACTGGATATCTACCCAGAGGAAAATAAGTCATTATTCGAAAAAGATACTGCACACACATGTTTATAGCAGCACAATTCACAAGTTGCAAAATCGTGGAACCAAACTAATTGTCCATCAGTCAATGAGTGGATAAAGAAACTGTGGTGTATATATGTATCATATATATGAGATATATACATATATGAGATATATACATATATGTATGTATGATATGTATGATACATATATCATATGGATGTATGATATGTATGATACATATATCATATATATGTGATGGAATACTACTCAGCCATAAAACAGAATGAATTGACAGCATTTACAGTGATCAGGATAGACTGGAGACTATTATTCTAAGTTAAGTAACTCAGGAATGGAAAACAAAACATCATAAGTTCTCACTGATATGTGGGAGTTAGGCTATGGGGACACAATGGCATAATAAGAATGATACAATGGACTTTGGGGACTTGAGGGGAAGAGTGTGAAGGGGGTGAGGGATAAAAGACTACAAATATGGTGCAGTGTGTACTGCTCGGGTGATGGGGTGCACTGAAATCTCACAAATCACCACTAAAGAACTTATTCATGTAACCAAATACCACCTGTACCCCAATAACTTAAGGAAAAAAATTTAAAAATAAATAAATAAAATTTTTTTAAAAATTGGCCAAGGATGGTGGTGTGTGCCTGTGGTCCCAGCTACTTAGGAGGCTGAGGCAGGAGGATGACTTGAGCCCAGGAGATCAACGCTGCAGTGAGCCATGTTTGCACCACTGCACTCCAGCCTGGGCAACAGAACACATTTCTGTCTCATAAATAAATAAGTAAATAAATAAATAAATCTAAGTATCTTTGGTTAAATTCCACTTTGGGTAGGGCTAAGAGAGGAGATGTGAACTCTGAGAGCCCAAATATTATGTCTTTCAAGTCTATTTTTTTGGTAAGTCAATTTTTGACTACCCTTTCTTTACTTATTGTGCCCTGTGAACTCTTCCATGTCCATACCCATTCATTGTCTATAATCTTGGCACTTTCTTATTCATTAATTCAACAAATATTTATTCCCTATCACCTTTATTTATGCATTTCTATAGATGCTAGAGATAGGGTAAATAAAAGTATGGCAAAACCAGCAATTACTTTTGCACCAACCTAATATGATTTTTTAAGAAATTTATAATTTCATTAGAGAAATAGATGTATAAACAAAGAAATTATAATACAAACATTGTGATAAGTGCAGGAAGTAGAAAATAGTGATTATTGCTTTCTTCAAACATAAAGTATTGTTAGTCAGGAGTCCTTCAGTTGTAAGTGCCAGAAACCCAATTTCAAACAGCAAAAGCAGAAAATGGAATCTATTGGCTCACATCCCTACAAATTCCAGGAATAGAACTGTGCTAAGGGACTCAAATAATGTTGTTGGGTCTTCATAGCTTATTCTGGTTTATTTCTTGCTTTTGGGGCCTTGCTTTTTTCTTCTGAAGATGGACTCTGAAGTGAATTCTACAGCACACTACCCAGATGCCTTATTTAGAATCGAAGCATTGGTTTCCTTCAGGTTTTGGGAGTGTTGGCTGCTGATGGCTCATAGTTGAGTCTCTTTCTGAGACAAAGGGAGGTGTCTCACTCAAGTTTATCCCTCCTCCCTGAGAATAGCTTGAATCCAAAGACTGATCAATGAGGGATACAAAGGGCTGGCCTCTTGCCTTGATTCAGGACGTACCTAAAAGGCCATCCAGCTTTAGAGTTACCCATGGGAACAGTTCAGGAATCTGAGGAACTTAACATCTGACTCTTGGAAGAACGGTTCTGTGGAGAAGAGGGTTGAGTTTATTTTTTTTATTCTGGAGATATAGGGATGAAATGGAGAGAAGTAAAGAAGAGAAAATATGAAGGGAAACCAAACAACTGTTTGAACTGGTGAAAGACTAGGCACCTTGCCCTGTGACTCCTCTCTAGAACCCTGCAGACTTTTATCAAGTATTTGGCTACAAGCAAGTTTTTTGTGAAACCAGTGGAAGAGTCTGTTCTTCCTCTCTCAACTGGCCTAGGATGGGATGGAACTGTAGAGCACAGGCATATTTAGGAGTTTAGAGACATAATTCTGAGGAAATAAGTTCTAGAACTTTGCAGAAGCAGTAGGTAGGGCTATGAACTCTATACATTGTAAGGTTTGACAGGCAAACATCTGGATGTATCTGTCACAGCAACTAATGTCTTAGAGAATAAGGTATAGCTTCACCAAACATTTGAGGAACTAGTAGTAAAAGTAATCAATGCTAATAAATGACAGTATAATAAAATGAAGGCAAAGTGCCACAGGAACAGAAAGGTCTTGAACAGCTAACCGATATATTAAAGAACAAATAGACTTGCCCGGCATGGTGCTATGTATCTGTAGTCCAAGCTACTTGGGAGGCTGAAGCAGGAAGATCACTTTGAACCCAGGAGTTCAAATGCAGCCTGGGCAACATAGAGAGATCCTATCTCTAAAATAAAAAAAGAAAGAAAGAAAAGATAAATTTGTATAAGTCCATTACTTGGCTTTATTATAATACAGAGAAAAACTGAGGGAAGGATTAGACAGGTCTAAAGCTATTAAAAAGAAATATAGCAAGAAAAACTGGAAGTCCATTGTCTGTGAAAAATTAAAAAAATAAATTATGTTCATTCATCTAGCACGGTGAATAAAAATAATTGACATTCTAAGGCTCCAATTAAAACATTTCCAGGCCGGGCCTGGTGGCCCACACCTATAATCCCAGCACTTTGGAAGGCCGAGGCAGGCGCATGAGTCAGGAGTTTGAGACCAGCCTGGGCAATACGGTGAAACCCCGTCTCTACAAAAAATTTAAAAAATTAGCCGGGCATGGGGGCACACACCTGTAATTTCAGCTACTCAGGAGGCTGAGGCAGGAGGATTGCTTGAACCCCGAGGCAGAGGTTTCAGTGAGCTGAGATTGCACCACTGCACTCCAGCCTAGGTGACAGAGTGAGACCTTGTCTCAAAATAAAACGAAACAAAACAAAATCCAAAAGTGTTTCCTCATGTTTTATTAATTAAAAACAAACAAAACCATAGCTGAGGAGGTTTCTCAGCTCAGAGGTTGACTGAGGAGGTTTCTCTGCAAGTGTGTTTACAACTGTGAATGGTAAATCCCACCAGAAGAAAGGCAAATAAATTAGATCGCTCCTGGAAAGCACTCTGCCTCATTCTTCAGCGGTTTTTGATGATGTGACTTAATATATAAAAAAGCACAGAGCTGAACTCAAAATGAAATAGCAGATTAAGAGAGCCATCTACTGGCAACTCATTGAAATCTGTTTAATTTGTTACGTTTCTATGCCCAATATTTTCTCATCACTAATTCTAGGGTCAACTTTCTAGACATATTTAATCTGCTCAACCTTCATGTTATACTTTTTATGAAGGAGGATATCTTTAATATAAGCTACAATTTGTAACACAGATACCCAGGTTTAGGAATTATTCTTTGAAATTTAGCCAACTTGTCTATTACGCTAAGAATGATGATGACAGTACATGTGATGTTTAGTAAAGTGACCAAAATAAAAGCAGACGACATATGTCCAGCACTGATCCATGTACTTTACTTGTATTGATTCTTATAATCTTCACAAGAACCTTATAAAGGAGGTACTATTATTATTTTCATTTTGCAGATAAGGAAACTGAGTACGGAGAAGTTAGATATCTTGCTCAAAGTCCAACAGCTAATAAGATTTTCCCTTCAGATCAGACACAAGACATAGATATTGTTCTTGTCACTTCTATTCAACATTGTTCTAGAGGTTCTAATCAGGGCAATTAGTTAAGAAAAAGAAATAAAACACATCCAAATTGGAAAGGAGAAAAGCAAAACTATCTGTTTATGGATGACATCACATATACAGAAAGTAAATCCTAGGTAATCCACAAAAAAGTTTAAGAGTTAATAAATAAGTGTACTCAAGGTGGTATGGTACAAGATCAATATGCAACAATCAGTTATTTTTCCTATTCACTAGGAACAAGTAATCTGAAAATGAAATTAAGAAAACAACTTCATCTACAATAGCATCAAAAAGAATAAAATACTTAGGAATAAATTTAACACAAGAAATGCAAGATTTCTACACAAAACATACAAAAATCATTGAAAGAAATTAGAGGTTTAAATAAATAGAAAGGCATCTGTGTTCATGGATTGGAAGACTTGATATTGTTAAGATGTCAATACTCTTGAAATTGAGCTACAGATTCAGCGTAATTCCTATGAAAATTCTGGCTGGCTTTTTTTTTTTTTTTACAGAAATTGACAAGATTATTCTAAACTCCATAAGGAAATGCAAGAGACCCAGAAGAGCCAAACAGTGTTGAAAAAGAAGAAAGTTGGAGAACTCACATTTTCCAATTTCAAAACCTACCGCAAAGTTATAGTAGTCAAGACAGTATTGTGCTGGCATAAGGATAGACATATATATCAACAGAATAGAATTGCAGGTTCAGAAATACATCCATAACTTATGGGCAACTGATATTCAACAAACATGCCAATACAATTTAGTGGGGCAAAAATAATCTTTCCGACAAATGACACTAGGACAACTGAATATCCACTTGCACAAGAATGAACTCTTAACCTCATAGCATATACCATCGGAACTCAAAATGGATCATAGACCTAATTATAAGAGCTAAAACTATACTTTTTTATCTTTCTACCTTGTCTAAATATACTTTTATAATAACAAATTGGGAAATATGGTTAAACTTATGGTTTTCTGTTATTGAATGTCATCAAATTGATGAATAACAAATTGATTGAATATCAAAGTTGATTGAGCTTAATTAAGTATTATTGTGTATGTCTGTGTATCCTGTTGATAGACTGGCAATATTTGGGCAAGTAATAAAAGAAAGACATACATAATTTATAAATTATTGCATACTATATTAGTTTGCTAGGGCTGCTATAACAAAGTACCACCAACTGAGTGGCTTAAACAACAGAAATTTGTTATCTCACAATTTTAGAGACCGGAGGTCCACGATCAAAGCATTGACAAGGCCATGCTCCCTCTGAAGGAGCTAGAAAAGATCTGTCTCATGCTCCTACTGGAAAGTATAATTCCAATCGTCACCTAGAGTTATCCCTTCATGTTTGTCTCTGTGTTCAAATTTCCCGTTTTAATAAGGACACCAGTCATATAGGATTCACAGTTCACCCTACTCTGGTATTATCTCACTTTACCTTAACTAATCATATCTGCAATGATTCTATTTCCAAATAAGGTCATATTCTGAGTTACTGGGGTTTAGGATTTCAACCTGTAAATTTTAGGAGCAGGGGACACAATTCAACTCATCACACATGCTTATTCCATGAGATTAGTTTTCTTCCCTTAATTTCAACAAAATAACTAAATGTGTTTTTATAATCAATATTTTTACATAAATTGTATTTTATTGTAAAATGGCCTGAGGAATTAAAAAATAAAAAAGTATAAGGTCATAAAATTTGCATAAATTTTATAAAAATATAAGTTAAAATAAATGTAAAATTTAACAATTATTTTTATATTTTAAAAAGTTATTTTTCTTCTGAAATTGTTAATTTCATTTATTAAAATTCAAAGCAAAAATTTTATTAACAAAATAAAAATTATTCAAGTAAAATAAAAATTTAATATTTTGAAAATATTTAATAGTATTTAATTTTAATTTTATTTAACTTGTTAAATATTTTTATAAAGATAAAACTATTTGCACTGTTAATGTGCAATGCTTGTCATGTTGCCAATGTAAAGAATTGTTAAACTACATCATGAATTATTATGTTTAGATCTACGTATATGTATATATGTACATTGAGGAGTAATATGTAATGTTTAATATTGCAAAATCTTTCTCTTCCACTACATTATTTATTTTGAATAACAAGTTACTCCAACTCTTAGTATTTTTTTTTTTGCAGATGGAGTTTCACTTTTGTTGCCCAGGCTGGAGTACAGTGGCACGATCTCAGCTCACTGCAACCTCTGCCTCCTGGGTTCAGGTGATTCTCCAGCCTCAGCCTCCCGAGTAGCTGGGATTACAGGCACCCACCACCACACCTTGCTAATTTTTGTGTTTTTAGTAGAGACTAGTTTTGCCATGTTGGCCAGGCTGGTCTCAAACTCCTGACCTCAAACTCCTGCTTGCCTCAGCATCCCAAAGTGCTGGGATTACAGGTGTGAGCCACCATGCCCAGCCTCTTAGTGGTTTTAAAGAATAACATTTATTATCTCACACTTTTTGTGGGTTAGGAATTGCCATGGCTTACTTAGGTGGGTCCTCTGCTTCCTGGTCTCGGACAAGGCTGCAGTCAAGGTGCTGGCCAAGGTTTTTGGTTTTTGGTCTCATTTGAAGGCATGACTGGGGAGGAATGTGCTTGCAAGTTTACACAGTGATTGTTGCCAGGATTCAGTTCTTTGCAGGTTGTTGAACTGAGGGCCTAAGTTTTTTACTAGCTGTTGGTCCTAGGCCACCCTCAGTTGTTTGCCATATGGGTCCATCCAACAATAGCAGCTTGTTTCATCAAAGCATGTGAGCCAGGAAGGCAATAGAGAGAGTCTGCCAGTAAGATGGAAGCCATAGTACTTTAAAGGGCATAAATACAATGAGGTGAGAATCACTGGAGACCATCTTAGAAGATTGCCTGCCATAGTAACAATACGTAACTCTTGTGAATACCATGCTGCTTCATGAGTACTTAGGAACCACAAACTGGAATAGGAACAGAAGCAAGAAAGTGGATGCTTTGCTCTAATGGAAAATGATTCTTGGCTATGGAAGAATCTATTGCATTCATGCTAAAAGGAAGAATTTGACAAGTTAATTAATTACTCTTTTTTCTTACCTAAGCATTTTGCTACTCAAGTCCTCTCCATACTCTGAAGCAGTATTTATCTTTTATATTGCCACCAGGAAAACCCACAGACTATTACAGCATTTGAACACAGTTGCCTTTGGTAGGGCAAGAGATTCAGAGAAGCATTTCTCTGAGTCCTGAACAATGTTACAATGTTAGTCCTGAGAATACATGTTTAAGATGAAGGGTTGCACTGAGCCAGTGCTGAACACCAGTTAGACAATGATGAAGGCACTCATGGTTTTTTTTTTGTTTGTTTTGTTTTGTTTTTGTGTGTGTGTGTGAAAGAGAGAGAGAGGGGTATATTATATATAAGACCCTCTAAAGCATGAGGATACAAAGTAGCAGTTCTTTTTGCTCACGGGTAGTGGCAGAACTGCTGTTTAAGCCACCTGTAACCCAGTAGGGACTAAATATTATTATACTTCTTGGCTTGTCTAACATGTCTCAATTTTTAGGTGATTTGAACTCAGATCAGTCTGACTCCAAAACTCACATTTTCTCTTTCTTGCCTTCTTTTACTTCCTTTCATTCTTTTGAAAGTTACTATTTTCTAATTACAAATATATACACACACAAATTATAAATGATTTGTGAAATGCAGAAAAGCAGTAAAAAAAAAGAATTATTCAAAGTTTCATAATCTAAATGCCAGCATTGTTGATATTTTGATCTGTATTTCTTGATATTCTTTCTTCTAAGTGTAATTTTTCATTTTTTGTTTAACAGAGGTGTGACTGTTTTGCAAGTATAATTTTTTATTCAGTTGTTTTCACTTACCATTACAACATAAGGCACATTTCCATGTTATCATGAACTATTCATAAACATCATTTTTAACAATCCCATGCTCTTTTTTTCTACACTACACTGCTTTCCAGGGAAAGACAGTAAGTCAAATATTGCTCATAAACATTCCTTGTGTTAGTCTAAATTTCAACCTGGCCCAATTTCAGATTCCTCTGAATCTAAAAATAACCTTTCTCTCTCTCTCTCTCTCTCTCTCTCTCTCTCTCTCTCTCTCTCTCTCTGTCTTGGTAGAGGATGAGCTATTTTTGGTATTTGGAGACTCAGGAATTCAGTGGGCTTGGAAGAAGAGGGAAGGGTCAAACTGGGCCATTTGTTACTTTAACCCAAAGCCAGGTCTCAAACTTTGACTTGGAGCAAGGTTCAGAAGGAAGCTACTAACTTAATATTAACTCTTGATATCATAAAAACTCTACTTTTAAAATACAATTATAAAAAAACCTAGCTTTATATATATTTTTATATATTTTGTTTGTGTGTATATATATAGTGTATATATATATTGTGTATATATATAGTGTATATATACTATATATATTATATATACTATATATTATATATAGTATATATATTATATATTATATATAGTATATATAATATATAGTATATATATTATATATATAGTGTATATATAATATATATATATATATATATTTTTTTTTTTTGAGACAGGGTCTCACTCTGTCAACCAGGCTGGAGTGCGGTGGGGTGATCTCAGCTCACTGCAGTCTCCGCCTCCTGGTTCAAGCAATTCTCATGCCTTGGCCTCCCAAACAGCTGGGACTACAGGTGCACACCACCATGTTCACCTAAATTTTTGTATTTTTAGTAGAGAAAGGGTTTTGCCATGTTGGCCAGGCTAGTCTCAAACTCCTGACCCCAAGTGATCCGCCTGCCTCAGCCTCCCAAAGTGCTGGGATTACAGGCATGAGCCACTACAGTTGGGCTGCTTTATATATTTTATAAAAAGGCAGCCAGAAAGAACTCTTGACTTTTTGGCTTCTCTACAGAAACCAAAAAGTTGGGCAGGATTATGTTTATTTAGTGCCAGTACTTAAAGGTTATTATTTTTTTTTTTTTTGAGACAGAGTTTCGCTCTTGTTGCCCAGGCTGGAGTGCAATGGCATGATTTGGGCTCACTGCAACCTCTGCATCCTGGGTTCAAGCAATTCTCCTGCCTCAGCCTCCCGAGTAGATGGGATTACAGGCATGCACCACCATGCCTGGCTAATTTTTTTGTATTTTTAGTAGAGACGAGGTTTCTCCATGTTGGTCAGGCTGGTCTCAAACTCCCGACCTCAAGTCATCTGCCCGCCTCGGCCTCCCAAAGTGCCGGGATTACAGGCATGAGCCACTGCGCCCGGCCCAAAGGTTATTCTTTAAAAGTTCACAAAGTCTACATCACTGAATGACAAATACCAGTTTTTAAGATTAATCCATTCTAGGGCTGGGCGCAGTAGCTCTAGCCTATAGTCCCAGCACTTTGGGAGGCCAAGGCGGGTAGATCATTGAGATCAAGAGTTCGAGACCAGCCTCGCCAACATGGTGACACCCTGTCTCTACTAAAAATACAAATAGAATTTAGCCAGGCATGGTGGCGGATGCCTGTAATCCCAGCTACTCAGGAGCCTGAGGCAGGAGAATCACTTGAACCCGGGAGGCGGAGGTTGTAGTGAGCCGAGATCACGTCACTGCATTCCAGCCTGGGCAGCAAGAGCGAAACTCCATCTCAGAAAAAACAAAACAAAACAAAAACCACTGTAGTTTTTAAAATGTTATCTTTGTGGCATGGCCAGTCAAAAACTCAATTAACTAGAGTTCTATGTGAACGCCACATTGGCTTGCCTTTCAAGAGCTTGAAATTTACTGAGAGAGGTAAGCATGTACATAATGAATGAAAAAACAAGGAAGAATGTGAACAGCACTTAATAAACACACAAAATTGGCCAGGTGTGGTGGCCAATGCCTGTAATCCCAGCACTTTGGGAGGCTGAGGAGGGCAAATCACTTGAGGTCAGAAGTCTGAGACCGGCCTGGCCAACATGGCAAAACCCCAACTCTACTAAAAATACAAAAATTAGCCGGGCGTGCTGGTGGGCGCCTGTAATCCCAGTGAGAGGTGACAATGTGCTAGCAGGCCTTGCTCACTCTCGGCGCCTCCTTGGCCTCGGCGTCCACTCTCGCCATGCTTGAGGAGCCCTTCAGCCCACCACTGCACTGTGGGAGTCCCTCTCTGGGCTGGCCAAGGCCAGAGCTGGGTCCCTTCGCTTATGGGGAGGTGTGGAGGGAGAGGCGTGGGCGGGAACCGAGGCTGCGCGCAGCACTGATGGGCCAGCACAAGTCCCGGGTGGGCGTGGACTCAGTGGGTCCCGCACTTGGAGTGGCCGGCCAGTGCTGCTGGCCCCGGGCAGTGAAGGGCTTAGCACCCGGGCCAGCAGCTGCAGAGGGTGCGCAGGGTCCCCCAGCACTGTCGGCCAGCCTGCACCATGCTTGAATTCTCGCCAGGCCTCAGCCGCCTCCCCGCTGGGCAGGGCTCGAGACCCACTGCCTGCCATGCCCAAGTGACCCCCCCACCCTGTGGTTCCTGCGCGGCCAGAAGCTCCCCAATGGGTGCCACCCCCTGCTCTGCGGTGCCTGATCCCATTGACCGCCCAAGGGCTGAGGACTGCTGGCGCACAGCATTGGACTGGTGGACAGCTCCACCCACGGCCCCGGCACGGGCTCCTCTAGGTGAAGCCAGCTGGCCTCCTGAGTTGGGTGGGGACTTGGAGAACTTTTATGTCTAGCTAAAGGATTGTAAATGCACCAATCAGCACCCTGTGTCTAGCTCAAGGTTTGTAAATGCACCAATCACTGCTCTGTGTCTAGCTAATCTAGTGGGGACTTGGAGAACTTTTATGTCTAGCTGGAGGATTGTAAATGCACCAATCAGCACTTTGTGTCTAGCTCAAGGTTTGTAAATGCACCAATCAGCACTCTGTGTCTAGCTCAAGGTTTGTAAACGTACCAATCAGTGCTCTGTGTCTAGCTAATCTAGTGGGGACTTGGAGAAGTTTTGTGTCTAGCTAAAGGATTGTAAATGCACCAATCAGCACTCTGTGTCTAGCTCAAGGTTTGTAAGTGCACCAATAAGCACCCTGTCAAAATGGGCCAATCAGCTCTCTGTAAAATGGGCCAGTCAGCTCTCTGTAAAATGGACCAATCAGCAGGATGTGGGTAGGTCAGATAAGGGAATAAAAGCAGGCTGCCCGAGTCAGCAGTGGCAACCTGCTCAGGTCCCCTTCCACGCCATGGAAGCTTTGTTCTTTTGCTCTTTGCAATAAATCTTGCTGCTGTTCACTCTTTGGGTCCACATGGCCTTTATGAGCTGTAACACTCACCATGAAGGTCTGCAGCTTCACTCCTGAAGCCAGTGAGATCATGGACCCCTGGGGAGGGACGAACAACTCCAGACGCGCCACCTTTAAGAGCTGTAACACTCACTGCGAAGGTCTGCAGCTTCACTCCTGAAGTCAGCGAGACCACAAACCCACCAGAAGGAAGAAACTCCAGACACATCTGAACATCTGAAGGAATGAACTCTGGACACACAATCTTTAAGAACTGTAACACTCACTGCGAGGGTCCATGGCTTCATTCTTGAAGTCAGCAAGACCAAGAACCCACTAATTCTGGACACATTTTGGCAGCCCAGATGGGACTATCGCCTATCACCAAGCGGTGAGTACCATCAGACCTCTTTCACTTGCTATTCTGTCCTATTTTTCCTTAGAATTCGGGGGCTAAATACCGGGCACCTGTCGGCCAGTTAAAAGCAACTAGCATGGCTGCCAGACTAAAGACACGGGTGTCAGGCTTTCTGGGAAAGGGCTCTCTAACAACCCCCGACTCTTCGGAGTGGGAGGGTTGGTTTGCTTGGAACCAGCTTCCGCTTTTCCCGTACTTCTGGGCTGAGCCGAGGGTTGACAGAGAGGAAAGCCATTCAGCTCCAGGGTCCCAACAACAAGTTTGTTGACCCTGCGGCCATGAGCGGAATTCTCAAAGGCATGTCGCCCAAGCGAGACTCACCCATCTATCCTATCTATCCTGACCCTTGCCCCCTGGGTCCTAATGCCTGCCAGACAAACTTCCTCTCACCTCTCTTCTCCGAGGCTAGTCCCACTTCTAAAAATCACTCCGTCTCTGGTGTTTTCTAGTTTCTCCTATAAGAATGACTTCTAGTATAAACTCCAAGACTCTGTTACCTTCTTTAGGCACCCTGGCTCACCAATCAGAAAGACATAATGTTTGCCCAAAGCCCCATTGTAGGGGGGACTATCTGGAATTTTAGGATCCCTCCTCAGACTAACAGGCCTAACAAAAGCTATTCCTCAAGTGAGGATATGGGAAGCCTCAAAAATTGTATCCTTCCTATTCATATAAGTGAGGACAAAAGGTGTCACTCTTCCAACCCTGGAGATCCCTTCCCTCCCTCAGGGTATGGACCTCCACTTCATTTTTGGGGCATAACATCTTTATAGGACAGGGGTAAAGTCCCAGTACTAACAGGAGAATGCTTAGGACTCTAACAGGTTTTCAAGAATGCATTGGTAAGGGCCACTAAATCTGATTTTTCTCAGTCCTCCTTGTGGTCTAGGAGGACAGGCAAGGGTGCAGATTTTCAAGAATGCGTCGGTAAGAGCCACTAAATCCGACCTTCCTCGGTCCTCCTTGTGGTCTGGGGGAAAAACTAGTGTTTCTGCTGCTGCATCGGAGAGCGCAATTATTCTGATCAGCAGGGTCCAGGGACCGTTGCAGGTTCTTGGGCAGGGGGAGAAACAAAACAAACCAAAACTGTGGGCGGTTTTGTCTTTCAGATGGGAAACACTCAGGCATCAACAGGCTCACCCTTGAAATGCATCCTCAGCCATTGGGACCAATTTGACCCACAAACCCTGAAAAAGAAGCGGCTCATTTTTTTCTGCACTACAGCTTGGCCCCAATATTCTCTCTCTGATAGGGAAAAATGGCCACCTGAGGGAAGTACAAATTACAATACTATCCTGCAGCTTGACCTTTTCTGTAAGAGGGAAGGCAAATGGAGTGAAATACCTTATGTCCAAGCTTTCTTTTCATTGAAGGAGAATACACAACTATGCAAAGCTTGCAATTTACATCCCACAGGAGGACCTCTCAGCTTACCCCCATATACTAGACTCCCTATAGCTCCCCTTCCTATGAATGATAATACTCCTCTAATCTCCCCTGCCCAGAAGGAAATAAGCAAAGAAATCTCCAAAGGACCACAAACCCCCCCGGGCTATCGGTTATGTCCCCTTCAAGCTTGTAGGGGGAGGGGAATTTGGCCCAACCCGGGTACATGTCCCCTTCTCCCTCTCTGATTTAAAGCAGATCAAGGCAGACCTGGGGAAGTTTTCAGATGATCCTGGTAGGTACATAAATGTCCTACAGGGTCTAGGGCAAACCTTCAACCTCGCTTGGAGAGATGTCATGCTGCTGTTAGATCAAACCCTGGCCTTTAATGAAAACAATGCAGCTTTAGCTGCAGCCCAAGAGTTTGGAGATACTTGGTATCTTAGTCAAGTAAATGATAAAATGACAGCCGAAGAAAGTGATAAATTCCCTACCAGTCAGCAAGCTGTCCTCAATATGGATCCCCACTGGGACCTTGAATGAGATCATGGGGACTGGAGTCATAAACATCTGTTGACCTGTGTTCTAGAAGGACTAAGGAGAATTAGGAAAAAGCCCATGAATTATTCAATGATGTCCACCATAACTCAGGGAAAGGAAGAAAATCCTTCTGCCTTCCTTGAGCAGCTACAGGAGGCCTTAAGAAAATATACTCCCCTGTCTCCCGAATCACTCGAGGGTCAACTGATTCTAAAAGATAAGTTTATTACCCAATCAGCCGCAGATATCAGGAGAAAGCTCCAAAAGCAAGCCCTGGGCCCTGAACAAAATCTGGAGGCATTATTAAACCTGGCAACCTCAGTGTTCTATAATAGGGACCAAGACGAACAAGCCCAGAAGGAAAAGTGAGATCAGAGAAAGGCTGCAGCCTTAGTCATGGCCCTCAGACAAACAAACCTTGGTGGTTCAGAGAGGACAGAAAATGAAGCAGGCCAATCACCCGGTAGGGCTTGTTATCAGTGTGGTTTATTAGGACACTTTAAAAAAGATTGTCCAATGAGAAACAAGCTGCCCCCTCGTCCACGTCCACTATGCCGAGGCAATCACTGGAAGGTGCACTGCTCCAGAGGATGAAGGTTCTCTGGGTCAGAAGCCCCCAACCAGATGATCCAACAACAGGATTGAGGGTGCCCGGGGCAAGTGCCAGCTCATGTCATCACCTTCACTGAGCCCTGGGTACAGTTAACCACTGAGGGCCAGGAAATTGACTTCCTCCTGGACACTGGCGCAGCCTTCTCAGTGTTAATCTCATGTCTTAGATGACTGTCCTCAAGGTCCCTTACCATCCAAGGAATCCTGGGACAGCCTGTAACCAGGTATTTCTCCCACCTCCTCAGTTGTAATTGGGAGACTTTGCTCTTTTCACATGCCTTTCTTGTTATGCCTGAAAGTCCCACACCCTTATTAGGGAGGGATATATTAGCCAAGGCTGGAGCTATTATCTACATGAATATGGGGAACAAGTTACCCATTTGTTGTCCCCCTACTTGAGGAGGGAATCAACCCTGAAGTCTGGGCATTGAAAGGACAATTTGGAAGGGCAAAAAATGCCCGCCCAGTCCAAATCAGACTGAAAGACCCCACCACTTTTCCTTATCAAAGGCAATATCCCTTAAGACCTGAAGCTCATAAAGGATTACAGGATATTGTTAAACATTTAAAAGCTCAAGGCTTAGTAAGGAAATGCAGCAGTCCCTGCAACACCCCAATTCTAGGAGTACAAAAACCGGTCAGTGGAGACTAGTGCAAGATCTTAGACTCATCAATGAGGCAGTAATTCCTCTATATCCAGTTGTACTCAACCCCTATACCCTGCTCTCTCAAATACCAGAGGAAGCAGAATGGTTCACTGTTCTGGACCTCAAGGATGTCTTCTGTATTCCCCTGCACTCTGACTCCCAGTTTCTCTTTGCCTTTGAGGATCCCACAGACCACACGTCCCAACTTATGTGGACAGTCTTGCCCCAAGGGCTTAGGGATAGCCCTCACCTGTTTGGTCAGGCACTGGCCCAAGATCTAGGCCACTTCTGAAGTCCAGGCACTCTGGTCCTTCAGTATTTGGATGATTTACTTTTGGCTACCAGTTCGGAAGCTTCATGCCAGCAGGCTACTCTAGATTTCTTGAACTTTCTAGCTAATCAAGGGTACAAGTGTCTAGGTCGAAGGCCCAGCTTTGCCTATAGCAGGTCAAATATCTAGGCCTAATCTTAGCCAGAGGGACCAGGGCCCTCAGCAAGGAATGAATACAGCCTATACTGGCTTATCCTCACCCTAAGACATTAAAACAGTTGCGGGGTTCCTTGAAATCACTGGCTTTTGCTGACTATGGATCCCAGGATACAGCAAGATAGCCAGGCCCCTCTATACTCTAATCAAGGAGACCCAGAGAGCAAATACTCATCTAGTAGAATGGGAACCAGAGGCAGAAACAGCCTTCAAAACCTTAAAGCAGGCCCTTGTACAAGCTCCAGCTTTAAGCCTTCCCATAGGAGAAAACTTCTCTTTATACATCACAGAGAGAGTAGGGATAGCTCTTTGAGTCCTTACTCAGACTCGTGGGACAACCCCACAACCAGTGGCATACCTAAGTAAGGAAATTGATGTGGTAGCAAAAGGCTGGCCTCACTGTTTACAGGTAGTTGTGGTGGTGGCTGTCTTAGTGTCAGGAGCTGTCAAAATAATACAAAGAAAGGATCTCACTATCTGGACTACTCATGATGTAAATGGCATACTAGGTGCCAAAGGAATTTTATGGCTATCAGACAACTGCCTACTTAGATACCAAGCGCTACTCCTTGAGGGACTGGTGCTTCAAATAGGTACGTGCATGGCCCTCAACCCTGCCACTTTTCTCCCAGAGGATGGGGAACCAATCGAGCATGACTGCCAACAAATTATAGTCCAGACTTATGCCGCCCGAGATGATCTCTTAGAAGTCCCCTTAGCTAATCCTGACCTTAACCTATATACCGATGGAAGTTCATTTGTGGAGAATGGGGTATGAAGGGCAGGTTATGCCATAGATAATGATGTAACTGTACTTGAAAGTAAGTCTCTTCCCCCAGGGACCAGTGCCCAGTTAGCAGAAGTAGTGGCACTTACTTGAGCCTTAGAACTGGGAAAGGGAAAAAGAATAAATGTGTATACAAATAGCAAGTATGCTTATCTAATCCTACATGCTCATGCTGCAATATGGAAAGAAAGGGAGTTCCTAACCTCTGGGGGAACCCCCATTAAATACCACAAAGAAATTATGGAGTTATTGCACGCAGTGCAAAAACCCAAGGAGGTGGCAGTCTTACACTGCCGAAGCCATCAAAAAGGGGAAGGAAAGGGGAGAACAGCAGCACAAGCAGCTGGCAGAGGCAGGGAAAGACCAGCAGAGAGAAAGAGAGAGACAGAGAGAGGAAGAGACAGACAGAAAGTCAAAGAGAGAAAGAAACAGACAGAGACAAACAGGGAGTGAGAAAGAGAAAGAGACAAAAAGTCAAAGAAAGAAGGAGAGAGGAAGAGACAAAGAGGGAGTCAGAAGGAGAGAGACAAAGAAGAAGTCAAAGAGAAAGAAAGAGAGATGGAAGTAGTAAATAAAAAACAGTGTACCCTATTCCTTTAAAAGCCAGGGTAAATTTAAAACCTACAATTGATAATTGAAGGTCTTCTCTGTAACCTTATAACACTCCAATACCACCTCATTGTCAGTGTAAACAAGGGCATAGCCTGAAAGCACTGAGGCCACTGACAACCCATAGCCTTCCTATCAAAAATCCTTAACCCAGCAGGTTTCCTAACAGGGGATCTAAATCTTAACTAATTACCATACAAAGGTCCAACCAGCTCTAGGAGGAACTCCCTTCAGGACAGGACAATAGATGGTTCCTCACAGGCGATTAAGGGAAAAAGACATGATGCGTATTAAGTAGGTGATAAGGAAACTCTTGTAGAAGCAGAGTTAGGAAAATTGCCTGATAATTGGTCTGCTCAAATGTGTGAGCTGTTTGCACTCAGCCAAACCTTAAAGTACTTACAGAATCAGGAAGGAGCCATCTATACCAATTTTAAGTTAATATGGACTGAACGAGGTATTATTAATAGCAGAGAGTAATTGAAATCCCAAACTTACAAGGTTTTCAACAAAAGTAGTTTGCTAAAAGTTAACAGTGTAAACATATATTATCCTAACTTCTAATCTTGTGGAAATCAGACCTTATCAGTAATCCTCAAAGCTCAAGTTCGTCAGCACAGAGCCATACAACTAATACCCCTACTTATAGGGTTAGGAATGGCAACTGCTACAGGAACCGGAATAGCCAGTTTATCTACTTCATTATCCTACTACCACACACTCTCAAAGGATTTCTCAGACAGTTTGCAAGAGATAACGAAATCTATCCTTACTCTACAATCCCAAATAGACTCTTTAGCAGCAGTGACTCTCCAAAACTGCTGAGGCCTAGACCTCCTCACTGCTGAGGAAGGAGGACTCTGCACCTTCTTAGGGGAAGAGTGTTGTTTTTACACGAACCAATCAGGGATAGTAAGAGATGCTGCCCGGTGTTTACAGGAAAAGGCTTCTGAAATCAGACAATGCCTTTCAAACTCTTATACCAACCTCTGGAGTTGGGCAACATGGCTTCTCCCCTTTCTAGGTCCCATGGCAGCTATCTTGCTGTTACTTGCCTTTGGGCCCTGTATTTTTAACCTTCTGGTCAAATTTGTTTCCTCTAGAATCGAGGCCATCAAGCTACAGATGGTCTTACAAATGGAACCCCAAATGAGCTCAACTAACAACTTCTACTGAGGACCCCTGGACCGACCTGCTGGTCCTTCCACTGGCCTAAAGAGTTCCTCTCTGGAGGACACTACAACTGCAGGGCACCTTCTTTGCCACTATCCAGCAGGAAGTAGCTAGAGCAGTCATTGCCACTATCCAGCAGGAAGTAGCTAGAGCAGTCATTGGCCAAATTCCCAACAGCAGTTGGGGTGTCCTGTTTAGAGGGGTGATTGAGAGGTGACAACGTGCCAGCAGCCCTTGCTCGCTCTCAGCACCTCCTCGGCCTCGGCGTCCACTCTGGCCCCACTTGAGGAGCCCTTCAGCCCACCGCTACACTGTGGGAGCCCCTCTCTGGGCTGGCCAAGGCTGGAGCCGGCTCCCTCTGCTTGCGGGGAGGTGTGGAGGGAGAGGCACAGGTGGGAACCGAGGCTGCGCACAGCGCTCGCAGGCCAGCATGAGTTCCAGGTGGGCGCTGGCTTGGCAGGCCCTGCAATCAGAGTGGCCGGCCGGTGCCGTCAGCCCCGGGCAGTGAGGGGCTTAGCACCTGGGTCAGCAGCTGCGGAGGGTGCTCCGGGTCCCCCAGCACTGCCGGCCTGCCCGCGCCATGCTCGAATTCTCGCCAGGCCTCAGCCGCCTCCCTGTGGGGCAGGGCTTGGGACCTGCAGCCCGCCATGCCAGAGCCTCCCCCCCGCCCTGATCCCCCCCCACGCCCATGGGCTCCCCTGCAGCCTGAGCCTCCCCAACGGGCACGGCCCCCTGCTCCATGGCAACCAGTCCCGTCACCACCCAAGGGCTGAGGAGTGCAGGTGCAGGGCATGGGACTGGCGAGGAGCTCCACCCACAGCCCTGGCGCAGGATCCACTAGGCAAAGCCAGCTGGGCTCCTGAGTCAGGTGGGGACTTGGAGAACTTTTATGTCTAGCTGGAAGATTGTAAATGCACCAATCAGCACCCTGTATCTAGCTCAAGGTTTGTAAACGCACCAATCAGTGCTCTGTGTCTAGCTAATCTAGTGGAGACTTGGAGAACTTTTATGTCTAGCTGGAAAATTGTAAATGCACCAATCAGCACTTTGTGTTTAGCTCAAGGTTTGTAAACGCACCAGTCAGCACCCTGTTAAAGTGGGCCAATCAGCTCTCTGTAAAACGGGCCAATCAGCTCTCTGTAAAACAGATCAATCAGCAGGATGTGGGTGGGGTCAGATAAGGGAATAAAAGCAGGCTGCCTGAGCCAGCAGTGGTGACCCGCTGGGGTCCTCTTCCACACTGTGGAAGCTTTGTTTCTTCACTCTTCACAATAAATCTTGCTGCTGCTCACTCTTTGGGTCCGCGTGGCCTTTATGAGCTGTAACACGCACCACGAAGGTCTGCAGCTTCACTCCTGAAGTCAGCGAGACCACGAACCCACCAGAAGGAAGAAACTCCGGACACATCTGAACATCTAAAGGAACAAACTCTGGACACACCATCTTTAAGAACTGTAACACTCACTGCAAGGGTCTGCGGCTTCATTTTTGAAGTCAGCGAGACCAAGAACCCACTAATTCTGGACACAGCAGCTACTTGGGAGGCTGACGTAGGAGAATCCCTTGAACCTGGGAGGTGGAGGTTGCAGTGAGCTGAGATTGCATCACTGCAATCCAGCCTGGAGACAGAGCAAGACTAAGTCTCAAAAAAACAAAACAAAACAAAAAACAAACAAACCCAAAGTCTTACTATGGCATCAAAGAAGAATAAATTCTGAATGATGAGAGTTTTGTATCAGAGTTAGAAATTTGAGCTGGGCTGGCTGGGTGTGGTGGCTCATGCCTGTAATCCCAGCACTTTGGGAGGCTGAGGTGGGCAGATCACGAGGTCAGGAGATCAAGACCATCCTGGCTAACATGGTGAAACCCTGTCTCTACTAAAAATACAAAAAAAAAATTAGCTGGGCATGGTGGTGGGCGCCTGTAGTACCAGCTACTCGGGAGGCGTGAACCTGGGAGGCAGAGCCTGCAGTGAGCAGAGATTGTGTCACTGCACTCCAGCCTGGGCAACAAAGTGAGACTCCGTCTTAAAAAAAAAAAAGAAATTTGAGCTGGGCTAAATGTACATACATATATAGATGTGTGTGTGTGTGTGTGTGTATACTGATTTTTTTAAAAAACACAGGTTTATTGAGAAAAATTAAAAATATAGGGAAATATGTGCATTATAACCAAGATAATGACACTTAAGAACTTGATGCATAATCTTGTTTTTATAAATATACTTACAAAAGATATTACTATTACAAACATCTGTTAATTTGATGAATATGTATGTAATGCTTACAATGTCTTAGGCACTGTTTTACAGGCTTGAGTTACATCAGTGAAGATGTAACTCAAGTAATTTCTTTTGTCATAGAGCTTATCTTTTAGTGAAGTGAGATAGAGAATAGACAAACAGAGAAATAAGTAAATTATGTAGAATGCTACAAGGCGATAAGTCCTATAGGGATAGAGAGAAGAAAAACGGGACAGAAAGGAGGATCAAGACTCCTGAGGAATGGATTACAGTTTATTTTTATTTTTGAAACAGGGTCTCACTCTGTTGTTCAGGCTGGAAAGCAGTGATGTGATTACGGCTCACTGCAGCCTCCACCTTCCAGGCTCAAGCAGTCCTCTCACTTCAGCCTCCTGAGTAGCTGGCACTACAGGCATGCCACCTTGCCCAGCGAATTTTTGTATTTTTAGTAGAGACAGCTATGTTGCCCAGGCTGGTCTTGAACTCCTAGGCTCAAATGATCTGCCTTCCTCGGCCTCCCAAAGTGCTGGGATTACAGACGTGAGCCACCATACCCAGCCACCTGTGCATTTTCCTAGTCAGGGAAGTCTTTAGTATTTGGAAGTTGACAGGGTCGCTGTGGCAGATAAAAGTTTTTTGATATTCTAATTTTTACTTAAAAGTTCAAAATTTTATCATCCGCAAGAAATACCGTGGTGTTTTCCTTGAAGTAACAGGAGTACTTCATTCATTTTTGAAAAAATTTCTGCCAGATGCCAAAGTCTGAGTAAACATAGTTTGTCTTGTTAGTTACTCTTTCACACAAAAATTGTGTTCCAAGAAAAAATTGTCTAGTTTACCTGGCAACTTGAAAAATCACGTAAGTGCTTTTCCTCAAGATAATCATCCTGCTTTGGTGTGCAGCAGAAGTGCTTTATTTGTACTTCCCATTTTGTCACCCAAAAACCTTTTACTTAAGACTTGAAATTCAATACAATTAATAAGTTTTACTGCTTTATCCATGACATTAATAAATAAAAGTGGCATTTTTTACTTTGAGTGCATAGCAGTGAATAGTAACAATGGCCACTAGCACAGTTTGGTGCCACTACCTCGATTCCAGTAAATTTCCAATCCTTTTACCCACCATTGCTTTTGCAGCATCAGTGCAAACATCAACATAGTAAAAACGACACAATGCCTTAGCATTATTATGAAAACAGTTTTGGCTATGGATCTCTTGAAAGGGTCTTGGAAACCTCAGAAGTCTGCAGGCCACACTTTGGATATCATTGCTTTAATCTCTTAGTCATTGATATCTCAGCAAGTACCTAATGTAGCATAGCCTCAGCTGTACATGTTGTCCTTATTTTCCAGGTGGGGAAAATGAAGATGAGAGATGTTCATTAATTGGCCCAGGATCCCATAGGCATAAGGGAGAGAAGTAGATTTTGCATCTAGAATTGTCTAAATCCAAATCCCAGCCTCTCCTTCTACTTTATATTTCCTGGATAATAATGCTTAAATGCCTTACCTCTTATTTTTCTCTTTTGCAGAATATACTGATTTTATTGAAGTATTTGTTGTACATCTTCCCTCCTCTCTTGGGTGGTCAGGGTATATCTGGACTCTCAATAATATATTTTCCTAGTTATAGAAGTACTAGATTCAGGACAATTGGCTTTGGTGAAAAAAAAGAAAAAAAATAGTAATAAATAAATAAAAGTAATAGAGGCAATATTTTGAACAAGACAACGCCCAAACTCTTTTGCTAAAACATATATAGAAATGCTGAGTGAAAACTAAGCAAGCAAGCAAGCAAGGCTGAGATAAAGATATCTATCTTATTCTGGAACCAGAGTAGAGAAAAAAGAGGTAGTGGTTTGCCCTTGTGAATTTATCATTTAAGCCTGCCCTCATTCAGATCTCAGGTCTGGAGTTATGCTCCATGCATGGCAGTGATCCTCAAGCTGAGAAATTCATGTAAAATGTATCTGAACTGTAATCCCAGCACTTTGGGAGGCTGAGGTGTGCAGATCACTTGAGGTCAGGAGTTCGAGACCAGCCTGGCCAACATGGTAAAACCTCGTCTCTACTAAGCATACAAAAATTAGCTGGGCATGGTGGCGTGCGCCTGTAATCCCAGGTGCTTAGGAGGCTGAGGCAGGAGAATCGCTTGAACCCAGGAGGCGAAGGTTGCAGTGAGCCGAGATTACGGCACTGCCCTACAGCCTGGGTGACGGAACGAGACTGTCTCAAAAATAACTAAAATAAATAAATAAATAAATAAATAAATAAATAAATAAACAAATAAATAAAATAAAATGGATCTGAGAACTGAAACACTTTTCCCCCATACAGCTTGGTGATGCCAAAGTTACCTGCCTGCCCTCTCCCCACAGTTCACTGCTTAACACAATTTTATTATCTTATTGTATACATAACCTTGTTTTACATGTTTTTAAATACATCCTCTTTAATGTGTATTGTTGATTCATTAACACTGACCTCACTACTAACAGCACTATAACTCATGCCTGAATAAAGCTTACCTAATAGTATTTTCCCTGTAAGGCACATCACAGCCTCTTTTTCTTCTTTAACTGTTTTTTTTTTCCCCAGCTTCACTGAGGTAGAACTGACAAGTAAAAATGTATATATTTAAGGTGTACAATGACAACACATCCTCCTGCACTGAGTTAACACTAGACAGCACTTTAGCACTATGTTTGGAGGCCATTTTAAACAGCAAAATCACCAACGAAAAGCACAAGAATGTGAATAATGTAGCACTAAATATACTGAGACAGGGACACTTGTTTACCGTATGTGAGCTGAAAGAAGGCGGAACCTAGCCTTGTTTGACCTCAGCTGGAAATGGGCACAGGGGACTCAAATTTTTTCACAGCTCGGCACAAATGAATGTCTGCAGATAACTGGGAAACAGCCATGTGTATTGATTTTGGGGTAGCAAACAAATTTTAGCAAGTAGGTGAACCTGCAGATATGGACTCTTTTGAATAATGAGAACCAATTGTAATTGCAAAACTTTTCTGAAGGAACACACCTTAAACTCAGGCCACTAATAAGATTCTTATTTTGCTTGAGATGTGGTCAAAATCCCTAGTTACAGGAGGAAACAACTTATCATGAATGAGATAGCAAATACAAGAACTTAGAAATCAAAGAACATGTGAAAATACAACTATTCGATAGGGACTATGAAACAAAAATGTTAAAAGTGATTCTGTAAATTTAAAAATAGTGAGAAAACAAGGCATTATTTCAAAAGACTAAGCAGATTTGAAGTAGACTTGATAAAATTTCTAGATATAAAAAATAGTTAATTAAATAACAAACTCAAGGGAAGGATTAAACAGTGAACTAAATAGTTGAAAAAAGAATTAGTGCCTGGTAAATTCACTAATGTTTCCACCTTACACATGTCCTTGGAGTCAGCCAGCTCTTTCTACAGTATTGGAAGGATAAAGAGATGCTTAAGACCTAAACAGTACTTAAATAAATGATCATTAAAATTAGATACTACTTCATACCCATGGAAGTGGCAAAATTTAAGACTGATGTTAATACTCCAGTGTTGGAGAAAGAATAGGGAAACAGATACTCTTACATCAATGGATACAATGTAAATTGATCAAAGTTTCTTAAGAGTCAGATGACAATATGTATAAGAGTCTAAAAATCAGATGACGTTCCCTAAGTACAGCACTTGTAGAAATTTATTCTAGGGAAATAAACAATTATAATAAAACATACATAAACAAAGACATACAATATAGCAGTATTTATTAAATCACAAATTTGGAAACTACTTAAATCATTAATACAGGGGATATCTTCTACAGATATTGCCAATTCTAATCAGTGCAGAAATAAAAACAGAAAAATCACAAAGTAAACATAAACTGAAGTCATAATGCTATAATCCTTATAGATATAGATATACCTGTGTAAACATATACATAATATATTTTATAGCAAACATAAAATATTATAGCTTAATTATTTTAATTTGGCAATATGTTTTGGACATTTTCCACATTAATAACTTTGCTTCTACAATGTGATTTAAATTGTTTGCATTGTATTCTATTGGTGTGTTATAATTCATTTAGTCATTCCCCTGTATTAATGATTTAAGTAGTTTCCAAATTTGTGATTTAATAAATACTGCTATACTGTGTATCTTTGTTTATGTATGTTTTACTATAATTGTTTATTTCCCTAGAATAAATTTCTACAAGTGCTGTACTTAGGGAACGTCATCTGATTTTTAGACTCTTATACATATTGTCATCTGACTCTTAAGAAACTTTGATCAATTTACATTGCATCCATTGATGTAAGAGTATCTGTTTCCCTATTCTTTCTCCAACACTGGAGTATTAACATCAGTCTTAAATTTTGCCACTTCCATGGGTATGAAGTAGTATCTAATTTTAATGATCATTTCTTTAAGTACTGTTTAGGTCTTAAGCATCTCTTTGTTTGTTTGTTTGTTTGTTTGTTTTTGAGATGGAGTCTCGCTCTGTCACCCAGGCTGGAGTGCAGTGGTGCGATCTCAGCTCACTGCCAGCTCTGCCTCCCGGGTTCACGCCATTCTTCTGCCTCAGCCTCCCGAGTAGCTGGGACTACAGGCGCCTGCCACTATGCCCGGTTAATTTTTTGTATTTTAGTAAAGACGGGGTTTCACTGTGTTAGCCGGGATGGTCTCGATCTCCTGGCCTCGTGATCCACCCGCCTTGGCCTCCCAAAGTGCTGGGATTACAGGCGTGAGCTACTGCGCCTGGCCAGCATCTCTTTATCCTTCCAATACTGTAGAAAGAGCTGGCTGACTCCAAGGATATATGTAAGGTGGAAACATTAGTGAATTTACCAGGCTCAAACAAAGCCTGACCTTTAACTTTGTAGGTATGAAAACATGCTTTTTTTTTTTTTCAAGAAATAGAAAGACACACAGCACCAGGCTTATAGAAACCACAATATCTATTAAAATGGCAATTTATTAATATTAATAGGAAACTAACTTCTGAAGAAATACAGATGCTTTTAGTGAAGGAAGACACCTCTTTCAAAATGTTTAAATGTGATGAAGAGGAGAGACCCTTGGTGGCAACTAAAGGTAGATGGAGGGCTGAGGGAGAGCTTTCTGGAAGCATTCATCATTAAATCAATAAACGTGCTCAATATTAATTATCAGTAACTGCTATAAATTCATAAAGACCGGAAACTTATTTTTATAGATTTATTATGGAGATAAACATTTTTTGTTTGTTTGTTTTTGAGAAGGAGTCTCGCACTGTCTTCCAGGCTGGAGTGCAGTAATTGCCTGGAGTGCAGGCATAATCTTGGCTCACTGCAACCTCTGCCTTCCGGGTTCATGCGATTCCCCTGCCTCAGCTTCCGGAGTAGCTGGAATTACAGGCGTGCGCCACCAAGCCTGGCCAATTTTTTTTTTTTTTTTAGTAGAGACAAGGTTTCACCATGTTGGCCAGGCTGGTCTCAAACTCCTGACCTCAAGTGATCCACCCGCCTCGGCCTCCCAAAGTGCTGGTATTACAGGCATGAGCCACCGGGCCCGGCCCAAGATAACCCTTTTTAATAATATTGTTTTCATTAAAATTAAAAAATTAGTTTTATTCAACCAATCTTTATTCTTTGCAAAAGATTGAAACTTTACTTAGCTATGATAATCTTCATAAAGATGATAACAGTCTTGTGTGTAGACTTATGTGGAATTTCTTGTTAGCATTATTGATCCTATTTAAAATGAAATCATCTAAAATGCTAACATTGTTGAACAACTATTGTTTTAAACAGAGAATCATAATAAGAAGCATTAATTAAATGATTATAAGTAAGCTAATGACTGCAGTTCTCCTTTCTCAGTATTGAAACAAATAGATTGCCTAGACCATCATCTACTTTTCTGCAATAGCATTTTCTTATTTTACAGACTTATGGCTGTTCTGTTGGGTTATAAACCCAAATACCTATAGATTAATATTAATTTACTTCAGAATAATAATAGATATTATGTATTGCCTATGTAGCTGTGTGTGCTTGAAGCTTTTATATACATTGTATCATTTTATCCTTTTAGTACCTCTTCTTCTAGGTGACACAGTCAGATCCAAAATGTCCAGCATAAGATGGACTTTATTTTTTGGTGCAGTTTTTAAAAAATGTACATAACATGATTCCACATAACATGAAATTCATTATTTCTTTTCATTTTAATTTTTTATTTTTAATTGTTGTGGGTACATAGTAGCTGTATATATTTATGGGGTATATGGGATATTTTGATACAGGTATACAATGTGTAATAATCACACCAGGGGAAATGGGGTATCCATCACCTTAAGCATTTATTCCTTAGTTACAAATAATCTAATTATACTGTTTTAGTTATTTTTAAATGTACAATTAGGCTGGCCATGGTGGCTCATGCCTGTAATCCCAGCACTTTGGGAGGCCAAGGTGGGCAGATCACTTGAGGTCAGGAGTTTAAGACCAGCCTGGCCAATATGGTGAAAACCCATCTCTGCTAAAAATACAAAAAATAGCCAGGCATTGTGTAATCCCAGCTACTCGGGAGGCTGAGGTGAGAGAATTGCTTGAAACCGGGAGGCAGAGGGTGCAGTGAGCTGAGATTGTGCCACTGCACTCCAGCCTGGGTGACAAAGTAAGACTCCATCTCAAAAAAAAAAATTAAATTATTATTGACTATATAGTCACCATGTTGTACTATCAAATACTACATATTATTCATTCTTTCTAACTATTTTTTTGTACCCGTTAATGATCCCCAGTTTCTCCTCAACCTCCTACTACCCTTCCTAGCTTCTGGTAACCATCATTCTACTCTCTATCTCCATGAGTTCAATTGTTTTAATTTTTAGCTCCCACAAATAGGTAAGAACAAGCAAAGTTTGTCTTTCTGTCCCTGGCTTATTTCACTTAACATAATGACCTCAGGTTCCATCCATGTTATTGCAAATAACAGAACCTCATTCCTGTTTTTAATGGCTGAATAGTATTCCATTGTATATATGTACCACATTTTCTTTATCCATTCATCTGTTGATGAACACTTAGGTTGCTTCCAAATCTTGGCTGTAGTGAATAGTCCTGCAATAAGCATGGCAGTGCAGATATCTCTTTGATATACAGATTTCCATTTTTGGAGGGTATATACCTAAGAGTGGGATTACTGGATTGTATGGTAGCTCTACTTTTAGTTTTTTTTGAGGAATCTCCAAGCTGTTCTCCATAGGGGTTGTATTAATTTACATTCCCATCAACAGTGTTCAAGGGTTCCCTTTTCTCCACATCCTCACCAGCATTTGTTATTGCCTATCTTTTGGATAAAAGCTATTTTAACTGGGGTAAGATGATATCTCATTGTAGGTTTGATCTGCATTTATCTGATGATCATTGAATTTGAGCACCTTTTCATCTGCCTGTTTGGCATTTGTATGTCTCCTTTTGAGAAATATCTATTCAGATATTTTTCCCGTTTTTCAATCTGATTGTTATATTTTTTCCTACAGGGTTGTTTGAGCTTCTTATATATTCTAGTTATTTTTAAATGTACGATTAAATTATTCATTTTTTGTGTATCCATTGTATGCTTTTAAATTTGAGGTTACCAAGAGGCTTGCAAACAGTATCTTATAACCCATTATTTTAAACTGATGACAACTTAACACTGATTGCATAAACCAACAAACTGACAGGCAAGCAAAAAGAAAACTAATACAAACTCTGTACTTCATCTTTCTGCTTTTTATAACTTTTTATTGTTTCTATTTGTATTTATTGTACTGTCTGTGTCTTGAAAAGTTGTTGTAGGTATTATTATTATTATTTTGAGACAGAGTCTTGCTCAGTAGCCCAGGCTGGAGTGCAGTGGTGTGATCTCGGCTCACTGCAAGCTCCGGCTCACTGCAAGCTCCGCTTCCCGGGTTCACACCATTCTCCTGCCTCAGCCTCCCAAGTAGCTGGGACTACAGGCGCCCACCACCACGCCCAGCTAATTTTTTTATTTTTTATTTTTAGTAGAGATGGGGTTTCACCATGTTAGCCAGGATGGTCTCGATCTGACCTCGTGATCCACCCACCTCAGCCTCCCAAAGTGCTGGGATTACAGGCGTGAGCCACCACTCCCAGCCTATTATTACTATTTTTAGATGGAGTTTCACTCTGTTGCCCAGGCTGGAGTGCGATGGCCCGGTCTCGGCTCACTGCAACCTTCGCCTCCCGGGTTCAAGCGATTCTCCTGTCTCAGCCTCCCAAGTAGCTAGGATTACAGGCGCCCACCACCACGCCCAGCTAATTTTTGTATTTTTAGTAGAGACAGGGTTTCACCATGTTGGCCAGGGTGGTCTTGAATTCCTGACCTCAGGTGATCCGCCCGCCTCTGCCTCCCAAAGTGCTGGGATTACAGGCGTGAGCCACTGCGCCTGGCCTGTAGCTATTATTTATGATTGGCTAATCTTTTCATCTTTCTGCTTAAGATATGAGTAGTTTACATACCACAATTATTATACAGTATTATAATATAATATTAAATTATTATATACAGTATTATATTATATATAGTATTTTATTGTATTATATTATTATATTATACAGTATTATAATATTCAGAGTCTGTGTACTTGATATTACCAGTCAGTTTTGTACATTCAGATGATTTCTTATTGCTCACTAATATTATTTTCTTTCAGAGTGAAGTTTCTTTCAGAGTGAAGAACTCCACTCTGAAAGTTTCTTATAGGACAGGTCTGATGATGGGACTATAGGACTCCATTTAGCGTTTCTTACAGGACAGGCCTGATGTTGATGAAATCTCTCAGCTTTTGTTCGTCTGGGAAAGTCTTCATTTTTCCCTCATGTTTGAAGTACATTTTCATCAGATATACTATTCAGGGGAATTCTATACTATTCTTTCAGCACTTTAAATATGTCATGCCATTGTCTCCTGGCCTGTAAGGTTTCCACTGAAAAGTGTACTGCCAGAAGTATTGGAGCTCCATTGTATGTTATTCGTTTTTTTCTCTTGCTGCTTTTAGAATTCTTTCTTTATCATTTGCCTTTGGGAGTTTGATTATTAAACCCGTTAGGTAGTCATCTTTGGGTTAAATCTCTTTGGTGTTCTATAACCTTCTTGTACTTGAATATTGAGAGCTTTTTCTGGGTTTAGGAAGTTCTCTGTTATTGTCCCTTTGAATAAACTTTTTACCCTGATCTGCCTACCTCCTCTTTAGGGCCAATAAGTCTTAGATTTGTCCTTTTGAGGCTATTTTCTAGATCTTGTAGGCTGTGCTTCATTCTTTTTTATTCTTTTTCTTTTGTCCCCTCTGTATTTTCACAACTAATGAGCTGTCTTCAAGCTCACTAATGCTTTCTTCTACTTGATCAATTCTGCTACTGAGACTCTGATACATTCTTCAGTATGTCAGTTATATTTTTCAACTCCAGAATTTCTTTTTGATTCTTTTTAATCATTTCAATTTCTTTGTTAAATGTATGTGATAGGATTATGAATTCCTTCTCTGTGTTATGTTGAATTTCTTTGAGTTTCCTCAAACCAGCTATTTTGAATTCTCTGTCTGAAAGGTCACACATCTCTGTCTCTCTGGAATTGGCCCTGGGTGCCTTATTTAGTTCATTTGGTGAGGTTATGTTTTCCTGGATGGTCTTGATTCCTGTGGATGTTTGTCATTATTTGGGCATTGAAGAGTTAGGTATTTATTATAGTCTTTGCAGTTTGGGCTTGTCTGTACCAGTCCTTTTTGGGATGGCTTTCCAGGTATTTAAAAGGACTTGTGTGTTGTAATCTAAGTTTTTGGTCACTGCAGTCATATCTGCATTAGGTGGTACCCCAAGCCCGGTAATGCTGTGGTTCTTGCAGACTCATAGATGTACCACCTTGGTGGTCTTGGATAAGATCTGGAAGAATTCTATGGATTACCAGGCAGGGACTCTTCTTCTCTTTCCTTACTTTCTCCCAAACAAATGGGGTCTTTCTCTTTGTGCTGAGATGCCTGGAGCTGGGAGAGAGGTGACACAGCACGCCTGTGGCCACCACAGCTAAGACTATGGTGGGTCAGACCTGAAACCAGCACAGCATTGGGTCTTGCCTAAAACATGCTATAACAACTATCTGGATGCTGCCTATGTTTGGTCACAACCCTAGGTTCTACAATAAGCAGGTGATGAAGCCAGCCAGTCTGGTGTCATTCCCTTCAGGGCAGCAGTTCCACCATACACAGGTCCAGAAATGCTGTCTGGGAGCTAGGGCCCAGAACTGGAAACCTTAAAAATCTACCTGGTATTGTTCTACTGCAGCTAAACTGACACTAAAACCACAAGACAAAGTCCTTCCCATTTTTTCCCTCCCTTTTCTTCAGGCAGAGGTGTCTCTACCCATGTCCACCATCACCACAGGCCCATGGGGAGTAATCCAGGGTACTCCCAACGTTCCCTTAAGATTCAAGGGCTCTTCAGTCAGCTTGTAGTGAGTGCTGCCAGGCCTAGGACTCACCCTTCAGGACAACGGGCCACTTTCTGGCCCAGGGTAGGTCCAGAAATGCTGTCCACGAGCCAAGGCCTGGAATCAGGGACCCCAAATGCCCACTTGGTGCTCTTCCCCACTGTGGCCAAACTGGTACCTAAGGTGCAAGCAAAGCCCACTCTATTCTTCCCTCTCCTTTTCTCAAGCAGAAGGAGTCTCTCCTCATAGCCACCAGAAATTCACCATTTCAGCCAGTTCAAGCTATACAGCTAATTGGCATTTAATGAGTTCTCAGTGTTGCACAATCATCACCATTATCTACTTCCATATTGTTCTCATCACTCCAAAAAGAAACTCCATGTCCACTATGCAGTCATTCTTCATTTGCCCCTCCGCCAGGCCCTGGAAAGCACGAATCTGCTTTCTATCTTTATGGATTTGCTGATTCTGTATATTTCATATACATCAGATCATACAATATGTTGCCTTTTGTAGCTGTCTTCCTTCCCTTAGCTTTTTTCTCTTAGCTGTCTTCTTTCCCTTTAAAGGTTCACTCATGTTATATCTGTACTTTACCCCTTTTTATAGCCAAATAATATTCTTTGTATAGGTAAATGACATTTTGTTTATCCATTCATCTGTGGATGGACATTTGGGTTATTTCCACTTTTTGGATATTGTGAATAATGCTGCAATGAACATTGGCATACAAGTATCTGTTTGAGTCCCTGTTTTCAATCCTTTTGGAAATATGTTTAGGAGTGGAATTGTTAGGCTATATGGTAACTCTATTGAGGTAACTCTTTTTGAGAAATGTCCAAACTGTTTTCCACAATGACTGCACCATTAAACAGTCTTATCAAAAATGTATGAGGGTTCTAATTTCATCTTATTCTCGCCAACACTTCTTATTTTTCACTTTTTTATTATAGCCATCCTAATACGTTCTAACTGTGTTTTCTTTGATTCTGTGTTTTTCTGTTTGGCATCTGTACAGGGTCAATGTTATTTTAACTATATTTTCCTATGTTCTGTATTCATGATGTTCTGGTATTCAAGAGCCTTACTGACTCTGGGAGAGATTAGCCTTCTCAGGCTAACTAATTCCTAAAGATAACAACAACTTGCCTAGGAGCATGCCTTTCACACAAACCAACCAATCCAGCATCTATTCACCGTATCACCCATCTCCTTATCTAATTGTCACACACAAGCCAATGCTTCCCCATCCTGAATGTCCCAGAGCCAGGTACCAGGCAACTGGAGATAACGCCCATAGCCCATAGCCTCCTGGAATTATTCAAACTAGCCAATCCTAAACTATTTACTCTGCCCTGCTTTGTCTTTACCATGGAAACTCCAAAAAGACTCTGACCTAGATTTTCCCCTTGCTCTTGTCTTCTGCCACTGGTCCAAACCTGGTACTTCTCACGTTGCCCTGTGGGACATGAGATGACCACCCTCCCCTCTGGGACTTGTGAGTATGACACACTTCCTTTCAAGCCTTGTCCTCCTCTCCTGTGGTTGCACCAACTTTACTACACCATATTCAACATCTATATTCTTAGAACAGAAGTGATATCTCATTGTGGTTTTGATTTTTATTTCCCTGTTGATTAGTGATGTTGAGCATCTTTTCATGTGCTTATTGGCCACCTGTATGTCTCATCTGGAGAAATGTCTATTCAAGTCCTTTGCCTGTTTTTTAATTGGGTTGTTATATTTTTGTTGTTGAGCTGTAAGAGTTCTTTATTCTGAATATTATATCCTTATCAGATACATAATTTGCAAATATTTTTTCCCATTCTGTGGGTTGTCTTTTCACTGTCCTTTGATGAGTGAACATTTTCAGTTTGAGGAAGTCCAATTTATCTATTTTTTCTTCTTTCCTTTTTTTTTTTTTTTTTTTTTGAGACAGAGTCTTGCACTGTCACCCAGGCTGGAGTGCAGTGTTGATCACAGCTCATTGCAGACTCAAACTCCTGGGCTCAAGCCATCTTCCTGCCTCAGCCTCCCAAGTAGCTGGGACTACAGGCATATACCAGCATGCCCAGCTAATTTAAAAAAATTTTTTTGTAGAGAGAGGGTCTTGCTATGTTGCCCAGGTTGATCTCAAACTCCTGGGCTCAAGCAGTCTTCCCACCTTGGCCTCCCAGACTGTGAGGATTACAGATATGAGCCACCATGCCTGGCCTATGTATTTTTTCTTTCTTGGTTATTTTGGTATCATATCTAAGAAGCCATTACCAAATTGAGGCCATGAAGATTTACTTGTATGTTTTCTTCTAAAAGTTCTATCATTTTAACTCATATTTATGTATTTGATCTATTTTAATTCAATTTTTGTATATTGTATGAGGTAGGAGTCCAACTTCATTTGTCCCATCACCATTTGTTGGAGAGAACATTCTTCTGTCATCGCATGGTTTTGGCATGCACTGCTTTTTTTTCCTTCCAATTTTTTGTTTGTTTTTTATTATTTTAGAGACAAGCTCTTGCTTTGTCACCCAGGCTTCAGTGCAGTGGTATGATCATAGCTCACTGCAGCCTCGAACTCCTGGACTCAAGTGATCCTCCTGCCTCAGCCTCCCAAGTAGCTGGGAATATAGGCATGTACTACTATGCCCAGCTAATTTTAAAATTTTTTATAGAGATGAGGTCTCATTCTGTTGCCCAGGCTGGTCTTGAAGTCCTGGCCTCAAGTGATCCTCCCACTTTGGCCTCCCAAAGTGCTGGAATTGTAGGTGTGATCTACTGCACCAGGCTGATTTGTGTGTGTGTATGTGTAGTAAAATACACATAACATCAAGTTTACTGTTGTAATCATTTTTTTTGTTGTTTGAGACGGAGTTTCGCTCTGTCGCCCAGGCCAGAGTGCAGTGGCATGATTTTGGCTCACTGCAACCTCTGCCTCCTGGGTTCAAGTGATTATCCTGCCTCAGCCTCCCAAGTAGCTGGGACTACAGGTGCCTGCCACCACGCCTGGCTAATTTTTGTATTTTTAGTAGAAATGAGGTTTCACCATATTGGCCAGGCTGGTTTCGAACTCCTGACCTTGTGATCCACCCACCTCGGCCTCCCAATTTTGTAATCATTTTTAAGTGTATAGTTCAGTAGCATTTAAGTACATTCATATGCAGCCATCACCACCATCCATTTCTAGAACTCTTTTCATCATACAAATTGGAAACTCTGTACCCATTAAACACTGACTCCTCATTCTTCACTCCCTCCAGCCCCTGACAACCACCATTCTACTTTCTGTCTCTGTAAATTTTACTATGCTAGGTACCTCATACAGGTGGAATCAGGCAGTATTTGTCTTTTCATAGCTGGCTTATTTCACTTAACAAAATGCTCAAAGTTTATCCATGCTGTACCATTCATCAGGCTAGGGTGAACCTCAGATTTATATAGGATTTCTGTTTTGAAGCCTTGACTGGTGAATAATACTTCATATTATGTCCTCTTGGTCATCTCTTTCTTTTTGTGTTGTCACCTGTGCCTTTACCACGGTCCAGTCTCCTGATATTTTTTTCCGTTTGAATCTCTCCATTCCTTATTTGATGTTCTAATTTGCTCCATCCTCATTTTCCTCAGAATTCTGGCTTTGCCTCCTGGTCTTAATGAATGCTGACTTTCCCCTGAAGATTTTGTTCCCCTGCAACCTTGAATTTATGCTTTTTGTGTTTTTTGGTCTCATTCATTCAGAATACTGGGTCAGTGGTTGAGTTCAGCTCTCTTTTCATTCTCCAATGCTACACCTGAACCAGTACTCCTCTGCTCTTATGTTAAAATCCCATTCCTTTGAAGGATTCCATGACATTTGCATATGTCATTCTCCACTCTATCTGTGCTATCACCTATTGACTTCCTGGTTACTAGTTCATATCCCCATCCACATGGCTTATAATCTTACCTATGCTCATGGTTTCAGTTGTCCTGTAAAGTGGATGACTTGAGAAGCTATATATTCAGCTCAAATCTTCCCCTTGAGCTCTGTATCTAACTGTCTGTTGGGCGTAGCTATATGGACAACTCTTAAGCATTCCTAACTCAACATGTGGAAAATTGAAAAGCCAGAAATGTGGGAGTCTCCCTTGATTCCTTCTCTCACTCACACTTTCTCTTGACTCTATTATCTTAATATTTCTGGCCAATATTTCACTCTTCTCTTATCTCTACTGTTGGGGCTTGGAAGATAACACCCCAAACGATGACACTTTGGCATGCTGAGTGCTTTGAAGAACACTGGAAAGGCTCAGATGCAAAATCTCTTTCTGACCTTCTCCTGCTCTTCTTTCTCCGGTTTGCCTTTCTCCCCAAGGGAGGCCATAGAACCTAGAATTCCTCTTCCCCAAGGCAGGTCATAGGAACTAGAACGCCTTTCCCCCAAAGTCTGCCATAAAATCTAGAAATACTACTCTAACCTTCCCCCACCTTTCAGTGTAAGAGCTGGCCTGAAAGGAATTCTCTGACCTACCTCGACTGAAAGTAAATCATAAGACCCACATTCCAGAAGGAGTCCTGACCTGTACCCAGGAGGGAAGAATGTCACACAAAGAGGGCAGGAAGAATCTGAACAGTCAGGCTCTACTGGGTTTCCCCACTCAATTACTATTAGATAATTTCCTTTTTGTCTAATTGCATTTCTCCATGGCTGTCCACTCTTCATCAAATCTAAGCATAAAAAGGGGCAGTTTTCCCTGGGTTTTTGGGTCTTCATTTCAGAAGGGTCCCGTGTCACATAAAACTTTGATTAAATAAATTTGTAATGCTTTTCTTTTGTTAACCTGTCTTTTGTTACAGGAGTGTTGGCCATGACTCTTATGGCAGGGAGGAAAGATATAATACCTTTCCGCCCCTAGAGTACTTTATTTCAGATCTCTCATTGTAAAAAACTGAATTATGAAAACAATCTCCTAATTGGTCTTGCCAGCCCAATCCATTCTTCATACAGCAAATAGTAGACTAAAATGCAATCTAGTTATGTCACTCCTAAATGGTTCTCTTTATATTTAGGTTAAAGTATACAGTCTTAGTATCATAGTATACAGTCTTTTTTTTTTTTTTTTTTTTTTTTTTTTTTGAGACGGAGTCTCCCTCTGTCACCCAGGCTGGAGTGCAGTGGTGCAATCTTGGCTTACTGCAGCCTCCTCCTCCCAGGTTCAAGCAATTCTCCTGCCTCAGCCTCCTGAGTAGCTGGGATTACCAAGCGCCCACCAGCACACCTGGCTAATTTTTGTATTTTTAGCAGAGATGGGGTTTCACCATGTTGGCCAGGCTGGTCTCGAACTCCTGACCTCAGGTGATCCACCCACCTTGGCCTCCCAAAGTGCTGGGATTACGGGCGTGAGCCACCACGCCTGGTCTACAAAGTCTTTTTGTGAAATAGCTCCAGTTTGTCTTTCCAGCCTTATATCATACTATTCACCCCACTCTCTTGTTCCAGCTATAATGAATTTACAGGTTGTCTTAAACTGGCTGAACCTCCCTCTTCTACAGCTAGTTAATTCTTATTTTTGTCATTTAAATCATCTTGGGAACTTCCTCCTCTAGGGTCCTCACTCAATTTGAGAGTAACTGACCTTCTTCATTCTCTTAAAGTCTTGTCCTTACTTTTAGCATAACATTTATCACATTGTATTGAGGGACCATAAGCTCCTTACTGAATTCTGTCTATATTTCCAGCATAGGTGTGGGTGTTCAGTAAATACTAGCTGCTGTGAAGAGATCCCATGCTGCATGTCAAGGCTAAGGTTTACTTTGTAGCACTTGATGAAGTGTGGTTATGAAAGGAAAAAGAGAAGATAGAATAGACCAGACCGAGTGCAGTGGCTCACGCCTGTAATCCCAGCACTTTGGGAGGCTGAGGTGGGAGGATCTCTTGAGCCCAGCAGTTTGAGACCAGCCTGGCCAATGTGGGGAAACCCCATCTCTACAAAAAAATTCAAAAAGTTAGCCGGATTTGGTGGCATGTACCTGTAGTCCCAGCTACTCAGGAGGCTGAGGTGGGAGAATCACCTGAGCCTGGAAAGTCGAGGCTGCAGTGAGCTGTGATCGTACCACTGCACTCTAGCCTGGGCATTGGGAGTGACTGCATTTAGCAGGAAAGCTGAGTCCACTGAAGGTGCTTTCACAATTATGGTGATTCTGTGCACATTTGTTTGTTGAAGTAAAGGGAGCATAGTTGAGAGAGAGAGAAAGAGGTTGAAGATATAAGAGAGGGGATAGAAATAAGATTACTTGGAAAAGAGGAAAGGTTTTCACCAAGTTTTCTTTTTTCTAATTTTTTTTGTTTGAGATGGAGTCTCACTCTGTCACCCAGGCTGGAGTGCAGTGGCGCGATCTCGGCTCACTGCAAGCTCCGCCTCCCGGGTTCTTTAAAATAATTTTTTAGCCTTTAGAAGTCTACAAGGTATTCATTCCATCCAGGCTGAGTTCAATGTCGCTTAACATAACATTCCCAATGAATCATTCATGGTATACATTTATTTAATAGAATCTTCATCTTTTCCTGGTCCAGGAAGGAGATGGATAAGAAATACACTTGATAGAAGTTAAGAAGTAAAAGTGTCCTAACAAAAATCTGGAGCTGCCTCACAATCAATGCTATTAGAATGGTTGGTATACTTTCAAAGTATATGCCTGGAATACGATGACATTTTAGAAAGGGCTTGACTCTTAAGATAAATGTTACCTATATATTATAAATGTGTTTTTTATATATAAGTACACACACACACACACGTATACACAAGTACGCACACACATATACTAAGCAGTGTGTGTGTGTGTGTGTGTATGTAAATTGTTGCTTTCATGATTATTGAATGTGACATTCTGATTATTCTGGTTTTAATAGTTATTTTATTATACAACCTGAATTACTAATTAAAAAAATAAAGCACAAGAGTTAGAAACAGCTTACATTAAAACTACGCAGTATTCATGAAAAGGCAGTTTCGGGGCCTCGGTCATCACTGTGAATTTTTTTTTTTTTTGAGACAGAGTCATGCTCTGTCGCCCAGGCTGGAGTGCAGTGGTGTAATCTTGGATCACTGCAACCTCTGCCTCCCGGGTTCAAGCAATTCCCCTGCCTCAGTCTCCCGAGTAGCTGGGACTACAGGCGCACGCCACCACGCCTGGCTAATTTTTCTTGTATTTTTAGTAGAGACGGAGTTTCACCATGTTGTCCAGGCTGGTCTTGAACTCCTGATCTCAAGTGATCCACCCGCCTTGGACTCCCAAAGTACTGAGGTTACAGGCATGAGCTACTGCACCCAGCCTAGTCATCACTGTGAACTTCCACAAACACTCATTGAGAGCCAGTTACTCTGCACAAAGTACTGTGCATAGAGCTGGGAGGGGCACAGATGTTTAAGATGCGGATCCTGCCTTTAAGAAGGTATATTAGCTATTATAAGTTTCAATTAACCAAATGTGTGATGATTATTAAAAGTCAGTGTTACACATATTTACTTTGTTTTCTATTCTGATAAAGCTCATGTATGCTTTTAATTTCCCTTTAAATCTTAACTAATTTCCAAAACTATCAGTGTTTCATAAACAGCTTATAGTGCCCAGACAGAGAGCCTTGCCCTTAGTAGCACTCATCCTATTTTTGTTGAACTAAAACGAACAGCTTCTTCAGTTTTAACTCTTGCATGGTTGGCAATTGGCTGAATTGGAATGTGAAGACACATTTAGAGGAGAGAATGTTCTGTCTGAGTGCTGCAGCTGTAAGAATCTCTTCAAAAAACATAAAGTCTATTACATAAATTATGTACTCTTTAAACTCCCATGTTCATTTACACAATTGATCATGGAAACGACTTTAGAAATATGTGTATCAAATATTTAGCATATTTTTAAAGCTTCCTTAATAACATCACTAATAAGTGGATGCAATTTTGTGTTTATTTACGGCAAACACCTATGAATATCAGATAACCTAATTATAGTTTATCAACATTACCTTTGAATCATTCCAATGGAAATGTCCTCTCTCACTGCATTCATATTGTTTTGGTGCATGAGCATGGAAAACAGCAGATTATTTTCCATGATCATAGATTTTAAATATTTACTTGCTAGCGCTGCATAATTTAACGCACTAGAGTTGGAAAGCAGTTTGTATGACAGCTGATGCCATGTCAGTGTTGCAGAATATAGTTTCCTCCTGTGATTTCTGTGTGAAGTTGTAAAAAGGAAAGGTACTCTACTCCTTTTTTTCTAACCAATTAAAATTTGTTGTGGCAAATCTACAGAAAACCCAAGTCTGTAGTATACACACAATTTACTTTTGTATATATAGTTATTTTAAGAATCCAAGCATTGTTTCTCATGGCCTGTTAATGCACAATACCAAAAATAAAATACATGCATTCTTGTAATCCAGGTCTTTATGAAAGTTACAAAAAGGCATCTAAACAGCTTGTTAGATGCATGCTCTCTCTCCTAAAAAAAATCAAAACAGAGTTTGGGGATTTCGAAACAGGAAACCACAAGCTATGGAATCATGCAAGAAAACTACTTTGCTCACTCTAATAAGTGTGCCATTTGTGATCTTATCATATCCTTTGTTTGTTGTTTTGTTATTTAGCTGTCCAAGTACATGAATAAAAAATAAATAGATCCAGCTACCTGTTTCTGTGAGAATAAAAAAAAATTTAAACCACCAAATCCACTAAAAAATTGAAAAAATTTCAAGTTTAATTTTGAACTTTTCAACTCTTCATTCTTGAAGGTTTTCATTCCCATGTGGTTTCATAGTCCGGTGGCATAGACTTCATATTTTATTTTTAGTTTTTAGTATAATTTCCTATGTAATTCAGAAGCATGTCTGGTAGTCCTTGCTCCAACAAAATCTGCGGTACTGTAAAACGGCATAGGATTACATTTTACAGTAACAGTATTTCTCTTGACATCATTTAGGAGTGAAGATAAAAATTTCCACTTATTTATTTATTTATTTATTTATTTTTACTTTTTTGAGACAGGGTCTTGCTCTGTCGCCCAGGCTGGAGTGCAGAGGCACAATCTTGGCTCACTGAAAACTCCGCCTCCCGAGTTCAAGCGATTCTCCCGCCTCAGCCTCCTGAGTAGTTGGGACTACAGGCGCGCGCCACCGCACCCGGCTAATTTTTTATATTTTTAGTAGAGACGGGATTTCACCATGTTGGCCAGGCTGGTCTGGAACTCCTGGGCTCAAGTGATCCGCCCGCCTCGGCCTCCCAAAATGCTGGGATTACAGGCGTCAGCCGCCGCGCCTGGCCAAAAATTTCCACGTTATAAAAAGCATCTTCGGACCGTCCTTTTTTCTTTCTTTCTTTTTCTTTTCCTTCTTTTTTTTTTTTTTTTCCCCACAAAGCCTCGCTCTGTCGCCCAGGCTGGAGTGCAGTGGCGCGATCTCTGCTCACTGCAACCTTTGCCTCCCGGGTTCAAGCAATTCTCCTGCCTCAGGCTCCCGAGTAGCTGGAATTACAGGCGCCCGCCGCCACGCCCGGCTAATTTTTTAATTTTTTAACAGAGACGGGCTTTCACCATGTTGGCCAGGTTGGTCTCGAACTCCCAACCTCAAGCGATCCACCCGCCTCGGCCTCCCAAAGTGCTGGGATTACAGACGCGAACCACCGCGCCCGACTGTCCTGTGTTTTAATGCTTGAAAATAATCTGAATATGGAAAATGAGTGCACATATCCCTTGATGTTTTATAAATAACCTACAGTCCTAATAATGGCTTGGCTTAGAGTTCCTTCACAACAGGAAAAGAAGGCATCCTGGCTTTTTTTTTTTTTTTTTTTTTAAATCAAAGTGAGGCTTGGGTTGGCTCTATCTTGGTCCTGAGTGCGAGGAAGGAGGGCCGCAATGCATGCTGGATCTTGCAGTTCCTACGCCAGAGGCAAGGGCGTGATGCTGCATGGCCTGCTGGTAGTTGAAGTCCAAGTGCTCGAGAGGAATTTATGGCAGCCGTAATGTGGTTTGTCTATCAGAGAGACAATGCTCACAGACGGATACTTTCTCTTGGTTCTGCGCTTGCTGCATTGGTGGATTAGCGGCTTGGGGTGGCGAACAGGTGGGAAAAAGGGATGGATAAAGTAAGCATAGCAGAGGCCTTTACGCCGCTGCTATCGCTACTGCCAATCGCAAGGCTTTCGTATCCCGGAAGTGGCTGATCTGTTGGATTTGACGCGGAGGCGGTTCCTCTTACTACGGTGGCCGGGGTGCTCAAAGTACCTGTAGCTGCGGCGCTGAGGTCGGAACGTCTGCGTGTGTGCGGGCTGGTTTTGTGGCGGCTGCTGCTAGAGCTGGAGCATTTGCCGGGTTGGTGGCTCCTGCACATTTTTACAGTTCTCCAGTCCTTCTCTTTCGGTGAGGGATCGGCTTGAGGCTAAAGGAGTCAAGAAGTTTGGGACTTAGCGTCTCTGGTCCCCGAATGACTGGGTTTCTTGCGGGGGTCCGCCTTCAGTGAAGACCCTGTGGCCAACCATCTGGGTTCTCTGAGGGTTTTGGCGCCTTCCTTGTCTCTCCTTTCTAGTGTCATTTGTCTTCTAACTCTTCCTCGCTTTGTCCTGGGTTGCAGAGATAAACCGTAAGCCTAACTGTGGGCAGCTGTTCCTCCTTTCCTTGTGGTTTTCTTAGATGTTGCAGGCAAGACTCTTTCCCCTGATCTATCGCATCCATTTGACCCCTCCTCATGCCAGTGCTCTGTCGGCCCTGTTTTTCCTCGTTTAAAAAATAAAAAAAGGGAAATAATAATAATAACTGGATCCCCACTGTCTCTCTGTTCTCATTCCTAGCCTCTTTCTCCCTTTTTGGTGTTTGTTACTGCTTCAAGCCATAACACACTGCCTTGCATATATTAATGCCTTTCCATCTAAATATTAACGTTCATTCACTTCATTTGGTTCCCGCTCACCGTGAACTCTCCCAACCCTACCCACATCTAAGGGCTTTTGAGGTTGGAGGTGTAGAATAAATTCTTACATATGATGACTATATTCATATATGAGAACCTTCAGCGGTCAACTCAGCATCACTGCTTATTGAGTTTATATTTCTTGTGATTTCTTTGGCTTACCTTTTCGTTTTGTATTGGTTATTTACCCACATGGGGCTCACTGCTACCCTATAGTTACAGAAGAATACCTCGTCTTACATCTTTTTATATCCGAATTACTTAGGAGTTTTCTTATGTTTTCCTGCTCGGACCATATGTCCCCGGTGGGTTTTTGGCAATGATTTTGTGTCAGTTGATGGCAGAAAGAGACAAGGGAATGATCTTCTTGCTTGCTTGTGACTTGTAATTAGATTATGAGCCATTGAGAATACCCAGAGGGAGTGGAAAGGCTTTGAAAGGTAAAGTCTATGTATTTTCTGAGTTTCAAATTGATAAAGCTTCTTCTTTGAACAGGAAGAGTTTCTATTTAGTCCAATAATCTGAGGCTATATTGAATTACCAGTTCATTCGCTATAAAATTTTTAGAACCACATGTCAAAAAGTGGCCCATCTAAAGAATTGTATAATTTAGCAAAAAGTCATTAAAAGCCATTTAATTAATGCTCTTTTTCTTTAAAATAGGATTCAAGTATTTGGAAAAATGTATTTATGGTGATTGGTTATGAAGTATTTCTAGATGTTTTGATGGTTCTGGTGAACAGCATCGTATTCTGTTCACTAATGTTTTATAAAAAGGCAGAAATTTTCTGGCTTTCTGGGGAACCACGTAACTCAAATGAGTTTGCAGCTCGTTTTCTATTCCAATTATTGCACTAAAGAGGTTCTTATACTAAGATTATCATTCTTTTTTAAGCTATCAAGTATGATCTATACATGTCAGTAAAATATAAATATTAATACTGGTACAATGTTAAATTGGGATTATTCCTAATTAATGCACAAAATGCTGAAATGGTTTCAGCCATGCTTAAGATTTGGGGCGAAATATATTTCAGAATAAATTTACTCATATAATTTTTTATTGAAAAAAATGATACGGTAGCCATTACTCAATCTTTTAATATTTTTCCTGAGATTTTATTCATTTAGTAGGAATTTAGTGACTACTTACTATTTAACTATTGTCACAAAATCACCAAAACATTTGTTTGTAAGAGTATCCTCTTGTCCTCAGCTCTGCATAGATACTTTTAAAGCATTAGCGCAGTTATTCCAACTAAGCTATTGAGTATTATTTACATTTAACAGATGAAAAAACTGAAGCTTGAAGAATTTAAGGAAATTAATTCAGTTCTTTTCGACTCTTCCCACTGTACAACAGCTGCAAGGATCTGTGCTCTATCCTGAAATATATAAAGAGCGTTAAATCAACATATGCTTACTGAGCAGCTATTCATACCAGACACTCTTCAAGGTGCTGGGGATATAGAGTGAACAAGAAAAGTCCCTGCTCTTAGGGAGCTTATACTCTAGCAGAATGTATGAGATGTAAACTTTCCCTTCAAGAAGCAGAAAATATAGTCAATATGTATTAGATTTTACGGGAGTGTTTTAGAATGTTAAAGGTGAGAAGAGAGATAACTAGGGAATGTTTCATGAAGATGAGATCTAATGTGGAATTTAAATAGTGGTTAGGGATTGGTAGGTAGAAATTAGGACCCTGTCTCAAAAAAAAAAAAAACAAGTGAAAATCTGTGATATAGAATAATTGGTGAGCCTTATAAAGCACTTTATTTTTATTTTTTGGACTATATATAAGTAAAATTGTAATATTTGACATGCATTCAATCATTTAGCATTTATTTATTAACTAGACACTCTTCTAGGCCACAGTGGTATAGTAGTGAGTAAATACGGTGTTTACCCTCATAGAATTTACTAACAGAGGAGGCAGACATAAATCAAATAGTCAAAGAAATTTAAAGTTACAACTGTGGTAAATGCTATTAAAAAAGGACTTGATGTTACACAGAGGAAGAACTGATTACAGAGGGGATAAGAGTGGGGATGGGGAGAGGCCAGTTAGAAGATTGTTGGAGTGGCCCAATTGAGAGATGGTATTTTGGACAAGGTGGTGGTGGTAAGATGGATTCCAGAGGTGTTCAGGAGGTGGAACTAGGCGATGGATTAGATATGGAAGGTGAGGGAGAGGAAGATATCATGGGCTAATCTTAGGTTTTTGGCTTATATAACTGGAAGGATTGTTGCACCCTTCACCGAGGTAGAGAACATCGAAAGAGGACCAGGTTTGGGAAACATGCTTTGTTTATTAGTATTTTTTGTTGTGGTAGCAGTGTTTAAGGTTAATTTCTTAGTTATTTTTACCCTTTTGTGTCATTGTTGTAGTTTTGTATATTTGAGTAATACTATGCCTAAAATAGGTTTTTTTGGTATCATTTTTTCTTGATTGAGCAGGGGTGGGGTTCTACATGAAAGCATCTGGAAATATGTTGGTCTCTGTTTTGAATCTATCTGTAATATATTAAACCATGTATATGAATAGGTAACTGAATAATGCAGTTACATGCCATCTTTATTTTCACTTGAGATTTGGTAGTAAACTGGCATCTGGTTAAATTCTAACTTCATTCATTTGGTACATACATAAATATACATGCATTAGGGAAAAATACATACTTGTGATTTTTCTCTGAAATGCTTCATTCATGTAATTTTTGATAGATATTGAACCCAAACAGTAGTGATTTATAGTTTATTGTTTAAATTTTACATTTCTTAGTAAAGTGGTAGAGTGTATAGAGCAAAGAGACTTTGGTGTCAGACTGCCTGGATTCATGGTCTCTATTTGCTGTATACTAGCAGTATGACCTTGAAGAAGTTATACAGCTTTTCCAAGCCTTTTTTTTTTTAAATTTATAAGATGAGGATAATAATAGTGCCAGCCTTATAGAATTGTTGTGAGAATTAAATGAAATGATATATATACATAGGTTAATAAAATACTTGGTACAGATTTTAAGTGTTTATTATCATTATTATAATAGTGATACTGGGTTCAAGATCATCTTGACTCCTGTGACACCATTTTAATTTTAGGATACCTTGTAACTAATAAAACTCAATTTGAGAAAAAAAATTTATTTGGTATTTAGATTTGGAGAAAATATATAAAATAGTTTTGCTTATTCACTATTGTCCCAGATACACCAGCACATAACATCTTTCACAGAGTTCTGAGATTATGTGTAGTTTACAGCTGTGATAGAAAACTTATGGTGATTAGTTTGTGATTACTTATTGTTTGTTAGGATTATTACCTTTATTTTTAGCCAAACCTTTTCGAAGTTTGAACTTGCTTTTAGCTCTTATTGAATAGGGTGAAGAGTAGTTAGGCTTTATGAAGTCTGATCAGCTGCTCTAAAATCAACCTAACTTCTACTTTTTCCCTTATTTTTTTCTTTTTACTTTCAAACCTGTAAAAACATTGAAATGGTAGTATGACAAATACCTGTACATCCTTTTACCTAGATTCACTAGTTGTTAACATAGTGCCTCTTTTGCTCTCATTCCTTGCTGTTAGACAAGTGCTGTTTCTCTCTCTATAAATACACACACACACACACACACACACACACACCTTTTTTTCTTGCTGAACTATTTGAAAGTAAGGTGGCAACGTGACACTTTACCCCCAAATAATTCATCATGCATCTCCTAAGAACTAGCACATTCTCTTATATAACTATAATGCCATTAGCATATCCAAATAATTTAACCTTGATATGATAATATTGTCTAATATGCAGTCCATATTCAACAATTAGATTTTTCCAAATATCCCAGTAATGTCATTATACCATTACAAAAATACCGAATCCAATTAAAGACATTAATTGTATTTAGTACTTATATGTCTATTTTATCTAGAACAGTCTTTATCATTTCTTTCTTTTTTTGTCTTCAGGTAGAATGCCTCACAAAATTGATTTATCTGATTTTTTCCTCACAATGAGTTTCAGATTGAAGAGTTGTGGGTTTTTCTTTTTTTTTCTTTTTTCTTTTTTTTACTATTACATGGGTGATGTTTTGAACTTTCCATTTAATCATATTAGGATTAACATGATCGTTTATTCCATTATTGGTGATTAAGTTTGATCACTTAGTTTAGCCAGATTTTTATATTCCGAAAGTATGTTTTCCCTTTTGTATTTAGTAATCTGTAGGGGTGATAAATTGAGGTCATGTGGATATTCTGTTTTGCAGGTTTTGTTTTCCTATCCAGTGATTTTAGTAGCCATTGATAAAAGCATTGGTGGTTGCCAAATAGTGATTTCCCACTTCTGTCATTCCTACATGTATTTGCTGGCTCTCTTCTCTAAATAAGAGCTTTCTCTTTTTTATTTTAGTATCACTATGTACCCAAGTATCCTTTTTTTCAAAATCTATGCAGTGCGTTATAATTTGCTACCATCATTCCTTTTGGTGATGAAATTATCTCAAATCTGGTCAGTAGTAGATCCTTCAAGCTGGTTCCCATGAACTTTGGATATGTCCACATTGGTGTTTGAGCACTTTCTTACTCCTATTTGCACAATAAGATGTTCCAGCCTCACCTTGTAAATTTCCTGCTCAATACATGGAATCAGCCATTTTACCACAGAGTCCTGGTTTATTTTAGTGGAAAATGATTCTTAGAAACCAAGATCTGGGCCGGGCGTGGTGGCTCATGCCTGTAATCCCAGCACTTTGGGAGGCCGAGGCGGGTGGATCATGAGGTCAGGAGATCGGGACCATCCTGGCTAACACGGTGAAACCCCATCTCTACTAAAAAATAAAAAAACAAATGAGCCGGGCGTGGTGGCGGGCGCCTGTAGTCCCAGTTACTAGGGAGGCTGAGGCAGGAGAATGGCGTAAACCCGGGAGGCGGAGCTTGGAGTGATCCGAGTTCGCGCCACTGCACTCCAGCCTGGGCGACAGAGCGAGACTCCGTCTCAAAAAAAAAGAAATAAAAGAAATGAAGATCTGGGTATTGAATATGCTCTTTGCTACTGGGGTGTCATTGGTTCTAGACCCTTTAAATGGACACACATATACACTTTTTTTTTTTTTGAGACAGTGTCTTGCTCTTGTTGCCCAGGCTGGAGTGCAATGGCGGATCTTGGCTCACCGCAACCTCTGCCTCCTGGGTTCAAGCGATTCTCCTGCCTCAGCCTCCCGAGTAGCTGGGATCACAGATATGTGCCACCACACCCAGCTAGTTTTGTATTTTTAGTAGAGACAGAGTTTCTCCATGTTTGTCAGGCTGGTCTCGAACTCCGGACCTCCGGTAATCCACCCGCCTCGGCCTCCCAAAGTGCTGGGATTACAGGCGTGAGCCACTGTACCCGGCCAACATATACATTTTTTAAGAAATCATGAGTTCATAGGATACCTTCAATTCAAATTCAACACTGCAGAGTTCTCATCACTTCCTTCCAATTCCTGTTTATATCTCTGTTTTCCCAAAGAGAGAATTCTGATTCTCAATTATATCACTATTTTTACTCATCTAACCTATCCTACAACACACATAAAATAGTTTTGGAATTACTAGACTGACTGATACCGCTTCCAGCAACAGATTTACCAAGTAAAGATTTCTTTGCCATTTTATGTTCTTAGAATATATCCCACTAAAGGTATATATAGTCAAAATAGGTGTTCAAAGTTATTTGAATTATTTTTTCTGTGTGATTATGTTATGAATGTAAAATATAGTTAGGTTCCTACTAAATTACTTTTTAATATACTCTTTGTAAAATCAGTTATCTGTAAAACTACTAAAGTGACATAATTTAAAACTTTGTAATATATAGTTATAGAGAACTCTAGAACAGTTATATCAGCTGGAGAATATTAAGTTTTAAGACTTGTAAGCTCTAAACTTGTAGCTCTATTTTTTCAGTTATAATGATATTTAAAATTAGGAGTGCAAGAAAAGTGACATCAAGTGATTCCATTTGTAAACCAAAACAATTGTGTTTGTGAACATTTTAAACAATGCTCTTCTTTTAACTGATGATACAATTCAAGCATTAATCTTTAACAATAGACATAATTGTTGGGGGTACTTTAACTAATTCCCAAGTAATAGGTCTAATGTTTTCCTGTATTTATAACCAGAATGGAAAGATTTATGTTTTTTGTTAAGTCCTTCTTTGTATTTGAAGAATACTTGTTGTGACTGTATTTTACCCTGTGATATTATTCATGTGTGAATATTCTCATTGGAAAGGGGGAAAATATGTCTCTTAATAGTTATGATACTTTATATCTCTATTGTGAGATATAACCACATTCAGCCTTATGGTTAGTTATAACCATTTTGCTTATTAGAATGTAAGATTAATGAGGGCAGATACTGGGTTTCATGGCTCATTGTATCTCCCTCAGTGCCTTGTAGGAGTAACCACTCAAATACTTGATGAATAAATGTGATATTTTGTGTTTAAATTACATGTAGTACTAGCTTCAGTAATATGGATGCACCTTTTTCTTGGCAAGAGTAACTAATATAATGGGTCTTGGAAATGGTCTTATCCATTGTCGTAGTCTGTCTTTCATTGCTTATAACAGAATAACTGAAACTGGGTAATTTATGTAAAAAAGGAATTTATTCCTTATAGTTAACAAAAGCTGAAAAGTCCAAGGTTGAGGAGCTACATTTGGTGAGGGCCTTCTTGCTGGTGGGGATTCTGCAGAGTCCTGAGGTGGTGCAGGGCATCACATGGTGAAGGAGCTAAACACACTAGCTCCAGTCTCACTTTCTCTTCTTGTAAAGCCACCAGTTCCACTCCTCTGATAACCTGTTAATCCATTAATCCATGAGTGAATTAATTTATTTATGAGGGCAGAACCCCAGTTACCCAGTCATCTCTTAAAGGCACCATGATAACATTCATATTTACTTATTACATACCTCAAAATCACTGTATCTTAAACTGAATTTCCTATCTTCACCTTAGTCTTCTCTACTTGGGTTCCCTGTTTCAGCTAATGGAACCATTATGCTCCTAGACATTAGACCTGAAATCTCATAGTCACTTTAGTCTCCTCTCTGGTATGTGGGCATATACACATCCATATATTTGTATGATGTTGCTCGGTCTACCATGTCAACTTGCTACTTTTATCTACTCTTTTCTTTTTTTTTAAGATGGAGTCTTGCTTTGTCGCTCAGGCTGTCGTACAGTGGCACAATCTCGGCTCACTGCAACCTCTGCCTCCGGGGTTCAAGCAGTTCTCTGCCTCAGCCTCCTGAGTAGCTGGGATTACAGGCACCCACCACCATGCCCGGCTAATTTTTGTATTTTTAGTAGAGACAGGGTTTCACCAACTTGGCCAGGATGGTCTTGAACTCCTGACCTCGTGATCCACCCGCCTCGGCCTCCCAAAGTGCTGGGATTACAGGTGTGAGCCACCACGCCCGGCCTTATCTACTCATTTCTAATCCTTTCACCAGTACCCTGATTGAGGTTCTCATTACCACTCATAGACAGTCTTCTGATCAGTTGAAGGAATTGGGACATTTAATGTAGAAAAGAGAAGATTGGGGGATAGGGAGGTTAGGAGGTATGTCTTTAAATATCAGATGGGCTCTCCAATGGAAGGATTAGTTTCAGAGGTTACAACCAGGACCAGTTAGTGAAAATAATGTATAGACAGAAACTTGGTTCCACATAATATCATTTTAGCAAATCTAGTTGTTTAAAATTAGCAGGTATCATGTAGTTACTATGGATACTCTAAAACAGTTATGGATGCTCTAGAACAGATATGAAAATACACAGTTTAAAACATCATCAGGCTTTTACATTTATAGCATATTTTGAGTTTAGTACAATATTCATTTAGTACTGACCTCCCTTTTCTAGAAGTAAGTGTTCAGTCAGAGGCTGAGGGACTGCAGTTGGCAAGGATGTTTTAAAGGAGATCTTTTTACTGTATAGGTGGTTGAACCCAAGTAGTAGCTGGTTATTAGTGAGTCTGAACCAGAGAGCAGATCACAGCTCTCAGGGTGGTAGTGATTTTTTTTTTTTTTGGAAACGGAGTCCTGCTCAGTCGCCCAGGCTGGAGTGCAGTGGCGCGATGTCGGCTCACTGCAAGCTGCACGTCCCGGGTTCACGCCATTCTCCTGCCTTAACCTCCCGAGTAGCTGGGACTACAGGCGCCTGCCACCACGCCCGGCTAATTTTTTGTATTTTTAGTAGAGACGGGGTTTCACCGTGTTAGCCAGGATGGTCTCGATCTCCTGACCTCATGATTCGCCCGCCTCGGCCTCCCAAAGTGCTGGGACTACAGGCGTGAGCCACCGCGCCCGGCCATGATTTTTTAAATTCTTTTAAATTTACACATTTTCTTTCACTACTCCTCTCCACCCAAGTACTATTGATTAGGAAGGATTAATGATAGCTTGTATTGTGTGAGACAATGGTCAAGAACTACTGTTAATATTAATACTTACTAGTGCCAGGCACAGTGGCTCATGCCTGTAGTCCTAGAACTTTGGGAGGCTGAGGCGGGCGGATCACTTGAGGTCAGGAGTTTGAGATCAGCCTGGGCCATATGGCAAAACCCCATCTCTACAAAGAATAGAAAAAAGTAGCCAGGTGTGGTTGTGCCTGCCTGTAGTCCCAACTACTAGGGAACTGAGGTGGGAGGATTACTTGAGCCTGGGAGATCAAGGCATTTGGCACTGCACTCCAGCCTGGGCAACAGAGTAAGACCTTGTCTCGAAAAAAAAAAAAAAAAAAAAAAACCAAAAAAACAAACAAAAAACCAACACACACACAAAACACCAAAAAACAAAAAAAGTATTAGTTATTAGATGCTTTATAAATTCTCTTTCAGTCCTGAGATTCTTAACATCCTTCATTTCTTGTAGGGGTTAATTATACTTTGTTGATTAAATGATTTGACTCTTTACCTCTTATGTAAAGATAGCAGTCTATATAAGACTCTATAAGTCTCTATATAAGTCTCTATATTAACTTACGGTGTTACCTCTTATGTAAAGACTACTATCTCTATATAAGAGGTTAACACCGTGAGTTAATATTAAGAGCTTGGAAAGTTGCGTTTTGAAGTAGGGAGGCTCCAAGTATTCGTAGTTACCTTCGACTTATCAGAGGTTACTAAGAACCTGACATAATTAAAATGTATTTATCAAACAACTGTGTGGTAAATATTATGTTCTTCTTAGAGATAAGATCAAGGCTTAAGGCTATCTTAAAACAGCCTAGGTGTCATTAATAATTCTTATTTTGGTCTTCAAGTACATGATTGAGGTCATTTAAACTCCTTACATCTTATTTAGGTTGGTTATGATGATTACTTTGCACAGTCTGTGAACATGTAATATGCAGTGCTGCAGAAGTGGAGGTTTTTGCCACAAGCCAGGTGTGAGGAACTTGGTAGAAGTCATGTGTGACCATAAATGTGTGTCTGCTTAATACTTAGTTTCTTTCATGTGTATTTTACTCGTTAGATTTAAGAGAAGAATGCATTGGTATTTTATTTAAGTCATCATTATAAAGTAGCTGTGCATTGATTCAGTGTTTTTTATTGGAGGATGTGATCCTGAGGAGTCCTAAGAATGTTTGTAAGATTTTTCTTGAGGCAAAACTATCTTATTAGTCTCTCTGCTATCAGCCCTTTATTCTTCTTTTCAAAGCCATTTTCTGAACCTGCATGTCCTGCCTTTATTGTGTTGCTGTTCCTTTTTTCAGTCTTTTTGTCATTATCTCTTACTGCCATCTACCTTGCCTACCCCTTAGCTCTGAAAGGGGACACTGCACATAAATATTACTATTGCTCTCCCCTTCATATTTGCCACTTTTTAAAAAGATAAGGAAAAGAATTTACAAACTGACCATTTATAGAGTACAAGTTCAGTGCATGAAGATAGAAGATTGGCAGGTATCGGTGAAGAGAAGGAATAGAAATGGACACAATAATTGATGTTTCTGTAAACAAAGAGGAGGGAGAGAAGAAATGAGAAGCAGAGATGATAGCCCATTGTGTTAGAGACCTTCAAGATCAGATAAGGGATTGATATTTCTTACTAAAAATGCAAGCAGGTAGAAAAGGTTACATAGATAAAAAACTTAGAGTAGACTTCACAGTTCATTTTATTTGATGATATAGCTAAAAGCACATCCAAAATTCTAAATCAATATCTATATTTCATCTAGCAGCAGAATACTATTTGAGGAAGATGCCTGAGCATTCGCAAATTCCAGAGGTCTGCGGTGTTTTTACCCATTGCACTATGTGACTGAGATGTATTCCATAGACTTAATCCCTAAAGTTCTGCCAGGAGCATTTACTTGGCCTTAAATCCTCAGTGGATAAAGTAGTCTACTTATTGCTAGATGGGAGAGGCTGATTACCTTCACCTGCCCTTCTTGTACATTGATTTGAGTACTCTTTACATTTATCAGTTTACAGTTTTTTGACTATCTTAATGCATGGTTATTGGTTAGAAAAGTGACTCTCTAAAAATGACATCTGGGTCTCAATCGATAATTTTCATATCAGATGTAGCTCTGCTCTCCAAAAGAATTCTGCTTAGTCTTCACTGTGCTTTTTGTATCATTAACCGTAAAGTTAGGAATAAACCTCATCTGTTAGCTTTACCTTTGTTTACTGAGATAGGATAAAATAGTTTTCTTCTCTTTAATACTATTAGCATCTAATTAAAATGGATTTGTTAGAATGTTAACAATGCACAGAAATATGAAGATGGCAGGTGATAAGGTTGTTGTAGTATGTGTTAGTAAAGAACATCTGCTTGAAAAAAGATTTAGTAATTTTTCTAAGCCGGGGATGGTGATGGATGCCCGTAGTCCCAGCTACTTGGAAGGCTGAGGCAGGAGGATTGCTTGAATGCAGGAGTTTAAGTCTGCAGTGAACTATGATTGTGCCACTGCACAGTCCATCCTAGGCAACAGAGGGAGACCCCTTTTTACTTAAAAAAAAAAAAAAGAAGAGAAGATTTAATAATTTCTCATAGTTTTTAAAGAAATAATTCATAAGCGCCTTCTAAAAATAGTTTGGAAATTGTGAAGTATATTATTTTGATGCTTTCCAGACTGAGAATCTAATGACACCACATAGAATAAACAGGAATTTTGGCATATCAGTTAATCACTGGGGCAGTGAAACCAGGCATTTTAACTGCTACAGGGATTGAAATATACTGACAGAGAAGACATCCTATTACAAAATTCCTAATTTTATAATTATGGCTAAATTATTACTTTTCTTTATGCTTTGTAGTCAAATGCATTTTAATTTTTTTTTTTTTAACAAAAGCAGGCAAGCGGTTTCCTCATTTGTGTGGGTTTTTTTTTTTTTTTTTTTTGCTCATTTGTAGTTAAACTAAAGGTACTGTTTGTCTTGCTTTCCTTGGCTTATCTGACACAAATATAAATAAAATATTTTAATAGAACAAAGCATTAATTTATTACTTTTTCTCTTTCCAAATGTTACCCCATTTATTTTAAGGAGAAACAAAAATTATGAATTAACAAGGAATAATCCTCCAAGTTACTTTATTTAGCTAGAGTTGCCATGGGGAATTAAATTGAGGAAGTTAAATGTTCACATGACTAAATAGCTGAATCTGATGTCTTTAAGAACCACAAGAATAAGGTTCTTTATCTTAAAAAGGAGAAAAAAAATGTCTCAGCATTTTAACTTTATCAGCTGTTTAGGAATTTTGTCATAGGATATCTTCTCTGTCAATTTTCTAGTCCAGCAGTTTCAGTTGTATTGTTAGAATTTAATATAACCTGGTTATATTTGTAATTTAGTGTATTCAGTTTTTTATTTGAGCAGTTTACTTTTGAATAATATTGATGTTTTTTAAAAGATGCTCAATGTGAACAATTTAAATCATAAAGAGAAATACAAAGAGGAAAGTCAAAGTAGAGGTTCATTTCTTAGATGCCAACATTATGGGCTGGGCGCGGTGGCTCACACCTGTAATCCCAGCATTTTGGGAGGCCAACGTGGGCGAATCACCTGAGGTCAGGAGTTTGAGACCAGCCTGGCCAACATGGTGAAACCCCGTCTCTACTAAAAATACAAAAATTAGCTGGGCATGGTGGCACATGCCTGAAATCCCAGCTACTCCTGAGGCTGATGCAGGAGAATTGCTTGAAACTGGGAGGTGGAGGTTGCAGTGAGCTGAGATCGCACCATTGCACTCTGGGTGGGCAACAGAGCAAGACTCTGTCTCGGGGAAAAAGAAAAAAAAAGAAACTAACATTATGAACTTCTAGACATTGTTTTATGTATATATGTACATGTGTGGGCATATGTATATACATATATGATATTTATGTATCGACATGCATAAGTTATATTTATGCTGTTCCCCTTTTTTTCTCACTCAATGCCCTCGATATCTTTTTATAGTGATATAGATCTATATAATTATAATATGTATATGCCATAATTTAGTCATCAGCAGATGATTTTATGTCTGTTAGTGCTGGCTGTGCTATTCTCTTCCATCAAAGAGTTAATAATTTGAGAAATAATTATGTTATTGTTTATGAGTTAATAATTTGAGAAATAGTTATGTTATTGTTAATTATGCTTGTTTTTTCAGGATTGGCAGTTTGATCTCTTGTGATGAAAAAATTCATTTAATGTACATTTCTTAGGTCTAGTAAGGTTGAAAATATTTTGTATGTTTATGGCCTTTTTCTTTTTCCAATTGCCTTTTTTTCTGTTTAGGTTTTTCCTTATTGATTTATAAGACCTTTTTGTATATTAAGGACATTAACTCTTTATATATGTAATTGGTAATTGGTATTGAACTTTTTTCCTTATTGTTGGATTGTAACAACCTTATACTGTTTTTCTTCTTTCTCTACAAAGTTTTCATTTTTATTTAATTACATTTTCCTGTCTGATTTCTGGTTTTGTATATACCATGCTTAGAAAAACCTTTTCTTTTTTTTTGAGATAGAATCTTGCTCTGTTGTCCAGGCTGGAGTGAAGTAGCACAATCTCAGCTCACTGCAACCTCCACCTCCTGGGTTGAAGCAATTCTTCTGCCACAGTCTCCCAAGTAGCTGAGATTACAGGCGCGTGCCACCACACCTGGCTAATTTTTTTGTATTTTTAGTAGAGACGAGGTTTCACCATGTTGGCCAGGCAGGTCTTGAACTCCTGACCTCAGGTGACCCACCCACTTTAGCCTCCCAAAGTGTGGGGATTACAGGCATGAGCCCACTGTGCCCAGCCAGAAAGGCCTTTTCTACCCCAAGATTTAAAAAATAATTTAAATCTGTGTTTCTTTGGAGTATGTGCACATATGTGTTTGCATTTGTATTTAAATATTTGATTCATCTAGAATTCATCATTTATTGAGGTAGTCATCTAGCTTTATTTTAAAAACTGTCTAGCTTATTGTTTTAGCATTATTTATTAAATTAGCCATCTTTTCTCACTTGTGTAGTTATTTTTCATATTAGGTACTAAATTCTTAAATACGCTTGGGTTTATATTTGTGCTCTCCATTATGTTTTATTCAGTGTTATCCTGTGCTAATAAGAAAAATAAATTTAAATAGTACTAAACTTTACTGTAGTTTTATAGTGTGTTTTAATATGTGGTAAGGCAACTCTCCTCTTCAATCGGAATTTTTGGTTATCCTTTATAAAGTGTCTCAATTTGTGATACTTTCCAACATGGCTCAAGGGATCATCTTTCAAAATAATCTCTGATTTCTCCAAAGTTAAGATTTTTAGAAACAGCCATTTTAATATTTGTTTTTTTTTTTTGGAGACAGAGTCTTGCTCTGTTGCCCAGGCTGGAGTGCAGTGGCACAGTCTTGGCTCACTGCAAGCTCTGCCTCGCAGGTTCAAGTGATTCTCCTGCCTCAGCCTCCTGAGTAGCTGGGATTACAGGCATGCACCACCATGCCTGGCTAATTTTTATATTTTTAGTAGAGATGGGGTTTCGCCATGTTGGTCAGGCTGGTCTCAAACCCCTGACCTCGTGATCCACCCACCTTGGCCTCCTAAAGTGCTGGGATTATAGGCGTGAGCCACCGCCCCTGGCTATTTATTTATTTTTGAGACAGTATCTTGTTCTGTCGTCCAGGTTGGAGTGCAGTAGCACAATCATCGCTTACTGCAGCCAGCTCAAGTGATCCCCCAACCTCACCAGTAGCTGGGACTGTAGGCACACGCCACCATGTCTGGCTAATTTTTAATTTTATAGGGAGAAAAACTCACTATGTTGTCCAGGCTGGTCTTGAAAACTCGGCTCCAGCATTTCTCCCCTTCAGCCTCCCAAAGTGTGGGGATTGCAGGTGTGAGCCACCACACCAGGCTCCATTTAAATTTTTGTTACAGAAATAAAGTGGGTTTCAGTCTTTACAGAAAAATGGAATTTAATTTTAGTCATATGAAAAGTAACTATGCTGAATTATTTATTAAACTAGCAACAACTCATCTTTAGTTTAACCTTACGAAAATAATTTTATCGTTCTCAACTACTCTATCTAACAATGATAATGAAAGTATTTTCATAGAATAGTTAAGGATGTGTCCCAGAGGCATTTCAATTGTTTCAAGTTTGGGGGTAAAGTTACTCTGAGTAAATAGTGTAGCTACATAGCAGGAGTTTTGACCAAAAATAATGAAATAACAACTCAACAATTTATTCCACTCCAAGTGCCTTTGAGGTTAGAATATTTGTTTCATTAATTTCTGTATCTATCACAGCATCTTAATTTTTAATTTTAATTTTTGTGGGTACATAGTAGGTGTATATATTTATGGGGTACATGAGATGTTTTGATATAGACATGAAATGTGTCATACTTACATCATGAAAAATGGGGTATCCATTCCCTCAAGCATATATCCTTTGTATTACAAACAATCCAGTTATGCTCTTTTAGTTATTTTTAAATGTTCAATTAAATTATTATTGACTATAATCCCCCGTTGTGCTATCAAATACTGGGTCATATTCATTCTTTCTATTTTTTTTTTTTTGTACCCATTAACCATTCCCACCTCTCCCCAACCTTCTCATTACCCTTCCTAGCCGCTGGTAACCATCCTTCCACTCTCTGCCTCCATGGATTTGTCACAGCATCTTATCTTGCTTTTGTATTTACTTAGGCATCATTATCTAAGATATAGACTTCCCCATATAACATGTCTAATTGCTCACTGTCTTCATTTTTTCCCCATCCAGATTAAGGCATCTTGGTTTTCACACTTGCTGAGGACTGTCCAGAGTATTCTGGATGGCTGGTGATGAGAACTGTCTGAACCAAAAAGTCTTCCCTGTGGCCTTCTTTCTTTCAGACTTAGAAAGAAGATACCTGCATGCACATACTCTCATTAAAAAATTTTGGATCTAGAAGACCAAGCTTGGTGGCTTTTTAAAAATAATTTTTTTAAATTCTAAAAATAATAAATGTTTTTGTATAAGATTTGGAAAATGTGGGCAACTGTGGTATAAAAATAACCACAGAGAAACTACTTTTAACATTTTGCTGTACTTCTTTCTTACTTTCTAACTCCCTTCATTCCCCCTTCGCTGTCCCTGCGCTTGCCTGTGTCATATGACACATAAGTTTCAGATTCTGCATAGTGTTTCCCCATTTTAGGAGACATTTTTAATGGATGCATAATCCATCATGTGGATGCACTATATATAATTCACACATTTTATAAACTCTTTTCCTTTTCTTGCTTTTCCAGATTTTGCTAAATTATGTATGCAGTTTTCTTGAGGAAAATTCGTCTTTCCTTTTCTTTATTCTAGTGTCAGTTAAAAAAAAATTCTAATTCTGGTGAGAGTGCTGCTAGTGATATACCTATATTTCATATCAGTTCACTGATTCCTTTAATAAATATTTTTGAGAACCAATTCTGTGCCAGGCAGAATTTAAGAACAGTCAGTTACAGTATAGTGCAATGAATGTGGTGATACAGGAAAACGTAGGATCCTATGAGAACTAAGAGAAGGATACCTATCTTAGTTTAAAGTTTAGAGAGGGCAGTCAGGAAATCTTACCAGTCTTACCAGAGGAAGTGAAACCAAAGCTGGGTTTCAGGGACTCCATGATAGTAAGGTCATCATACAGTGAGGGTGAGCAGTAAGGCACTTGAGTTAGAGGGAACAGATGCAAAGGCATGAGGTACCAGATAACATACCAAGTTCAGGAAGCTTTGATATTAATATTAAATGTGGTTTCAGCATATGCTGCATGTGAAGTAGTAAAAGAGGAAGCTGAGTAAGTAGGCAGAGGTTATTTCATGAAGGGCCTTAAATATCATCCTTAAGTACCAGGAACTATGCCAAGTGCTAGGGGTATAAACAAAAAAAACAGAGTCCTTGAGGAATGTGTTTATAGCTTTCATTCTCGTTTATGCGTCAGCAGTTCTCAAATTAATATGCCTAGCCCAGACCTCTCCTTTGAGCTCCAGATCTATATATCCAACTGCCTAGTTGATTGACATCCCGAGAATATATCTAGAGTGTAAATTCCAAGAGAACAGGTATTTCATTGCCTTTGTTCTCAGCTGTACCTGCAGTGCCTAGAACAGTGCCTGGCAATAATTTATCTAATGATTAAAGAAAAGAATGGCAGGGCGTGGTGGCTCGCGCCTGTAATCCCAGCACTTTGGGAGACCAAGGTGGGTGGATCACGAGGTCAGGAGTTCAAGACCAGCCTGCTGGGAGGCGGAGATTGCAGTGAGCCGAGATGTTGCCACTGTACTCCAGCCTGGGAGACAGAGCGAGACTCCATCTTAAAAAAAAAATAAAAAAGAAGGCCGGCGCAGTGGCTCACGCCTGTAATCCCAGCACTTTGGGAGGCCGAGGCGGGCGGATCACGAGGTCAGGAGATGGAGACCATCCTGGCTAACACGGTGAAAACCCGTCTCTACTAAAAGTACAAAAAATTAGCCGGATGTGGTGGCAGGCGCCTGGAGTCCCAGTTACTCGGGAGGCTGAGGCAGGAGAATGGCATGAACCGGGGAGGCGGAGCTTGCAGTGAGCTGAGATTGCGCCACTGCACTCCAGCTTGGGGGACAGAGCAAGACTCTGTCTCCAAAAAAAAAAAAAAAAAAAAAAAAAAAGAAAAAAAGAAAAGAACTACTCTCTGCTTGTGTTTCTCAGAGACATCTTAAATACCACATATCTCAAATCAAATTCATAATCTTCTCCCTCTAACCTCTCCCTCTCCTGATGTTTCCTATCTCAGTGATTGGCACCATCTGTTTAGTTTCACACACCAAAGCCTGGGTATATCTTTGGCATATCCCTGTTCTTTACCTTCCATATCCATTGTATCACCAAGACTTACTGAATTTTCTACATGTTTCCTCAGATGTCCATTTCTCCATCTTCACTGCTCCAGTCCAAGCTATCATCTCCTAGTCCTGTATAATACAGGTTGAGCATCCTTAATCCGAAAATCAGAAATCTGAAATTTTCCAGGATCTGTAACCTCTTGAGTGCCAACATGATGCTCAAAGGAAATGCTCATTGGAGCATTTTGGATTTTGGATTTTCGGATTAACGATCCTCAACTAGTAAGTATACATAATGCAAATATTAAAAAAAAAAAAAAAGAAATCCAAACACTTCCAGTCCCAAGCATTTTGGATAAGGGATACTCAACCTGTAGTGGTAAACTCATTATCTACTTTTATTCCTTTCCATGTTCTTCTCCATGCTGCTATTGAAGTAAAACAAACAAACCTACTGAATCTGGTTATGATATTCCTGTTTGAAACAAATTGCTCTTAGGATAAAGAACAAAATTTTTAACCTGGTCTACAAGGCCGTTTGTGCTTTGGCATCTATATAACCCTATAGCCTCATCTCATGCCACTTTTTTAGACATCTCATGCCACTTTTTTAGACTTTTCTGTTTTCTAGTCACATTGACTTTTTAAGTTCTTCCAATAGACCATGCTTTCTCCTGGCTCAGAACTATGATGTATAATTGGTAACTTTTAATACATATTATAAAATGGAATGTCTATTGTTAGAGAAATGAATGTATCAATATTTTTGAGTAGATATTTCTAATCTTAAAAGGGTAATGTTCTGTGCAGCATTCTTTTCTTGAAAAGTAAACTGTGAATTATTGCAAATAAGCACAAGCATTTTCAGTTATAATTTGTTCCTTTTGAGATTATATCACACATCTCAATTTTCCCTAAAGTCAGTAATAAAACAGACACTTATGAGCTACATTTATTCTATTTTAAAGTAAGAACATTTTCCGTTATAAATTTAAGCCGTTCTGTTTGTTTAAGTGCTGCAGTATGGAGATAGGAAGGAAACATAGGAAATGTCTTATTTAAAAAACAAAACAAAATAATTAGACTTTATGTGATGTGAAAGTAGTGACTAATCAATATAAGTGGAAGCTTCCATTCTGAAGATAGTCAAGATTTTTTATAAGATTTCAAATCACCTTCTCTAATGACAGATAAAACAAATCTTGGATATTCTCACTTGCGCCAATGCACCAGAGCAGAGCTGTGTTACTAAATTGATTTATTGTATTCAATTGTGAGCAGTTGGGGGAGATTATTGCTTGGTTTTGCATGATAGGTTTATTGTTGTATATTTGTTAGTAAAGGTTTTTTGTAATTAAAATATAGAATATCTTATTCTATAAGATTTCTGTTTGTAAAATGAGAAATTGGTTTTCTGTTTATTTCTGAGTATAAAAAGAGAAATTGTTTTGTTCATTTGCAGTTCAAACTGTATTTAATCACTTAAGTAACTTTAACAGGTATTGCTCCATGTAACCATATATGTAGTAATTACTGATTTTTTTCCTTAATTTTTAAAGTCAGTATAAAAGATTAAACTCTACAGAAGAATGCAATCAAGTGATGGCTTTTCCTTTAGAATTTGAATATGGAGGCTACAGGAACAGATGAAGTTGACAAGCTAAAAACCAAATTTATATCTGCTTGGAACAACATGAAATATAGTAAGTATCATGTTTTAAAAATTGTATAAATCCAAAGAAATATTTGACAATATTTATCATTTCCCCTCTTAAGTCACTGACAATTTCTTGAGAATAAATGGCATACTTTACTTTGAATGAAATATTTCTATAAGGAATGTAGTTAAAAATATCTCCTGAAGAAAGAGCCAAGTATCATCATAAACATTGCCTAGAAACTCAAGCATACGATGTGGTCTCCTTTTTTCTTTTTTTTTTTTTTTGAGACTTAGTCTCGCTCTGTCACACAGGCTGGAGTGTAGTGGTGCAATCTCAGCTCACTGCAACCTCTGCCTCCCAGGTTCAAGTGATTCTTCTGCCTCAGCCTCCTGAGTAGCTGGGACTACAGGTGCGCACTACCACACCTGGCTAATTTTTTTTTTGTATTTTTAGTAGAGATTGGGTTTCACCATGTTGGTCAGGCTGGTCTTGAACTCTTGACCTCGTGATCCGCCCACCTTGGCCTCCCAAAGTGCTGGGATTACAGGCGTGAGCCACTGGGCCTGGCCTTTTTTCCTTTTTTTTTAAGTTGCTAGAGTATATTAATATCCTCATGTCTTGCATAATTTTTTTTTTTTAGCGTTCTAAAACATATAGAATTTATTCAGGTGATGATAATACCTTGGCTTTTCAGATACAATTTCAGGCAGCCTCATCTCTGTGCCAGGAAATAAGCAAAATAGGCCTCTTCCCACACAAAATAGACTGTAAAGTTCGTGCACTGATACCTCTGATTTTTCTCCTAGATATTATTTTTAACCTAGTTCCTTTTGATTTGCAAACAAATCTAATAAGGAGTATATGGCTATTTTTGAAGCCCACCTAAGATGGAGAAGTACTTGGGCAGAACCAGCTTCAACAGGAAAAAAGCTCATATTCATAAAATAAGTGTGAAAACAGAATTCAGTAAAACCCCTTGATAATGCAAATTCAGGAAAAACACAATTGGCAGTTTAAATTATGTACCATAAGAACATTGTGAGAACTTGATAAAGACCGTTATGAGATATCTGAAAATAAATTAAAATTAAAATTTTTTCTTTCTTATGTCCTTTAATTGGATAGTTTTTAAAGTGTGTTTAAAATTCTTAACTTTATTTGAAACTAGCATAAATTGCCTTTATTTCCAGTTCATTGTTCAAATATTGTATTTTGCAACTGTTGCCAAAAATGCACATCCATAAATAATAATTGATGGTTTGAAATTAAATAAAAGAAAACGCTGCTAGACTTTTAGTCTGAAATCTTTTAATTACAAAACGTTTTCTTTTCTTTTTTTTTTTTTTGCTAGGTTGGGTGTTGAAAACAAAGACGTATTTTAGTAGAAATTCTCCTGTATTATTGCTTGGAAAATGTTACCATTTTAAATATGAAGGTAAGTACAAAATTTGTAAACCATTTAAAAATTTTTGTAGAAATCATCATGTAACTTTTTATTATTTTATTTCTAGATTAATCTACTTTTGCAGTATTTCTTTTAAGTATTTGTATTTCTTATAGCTCATAATATATTACTATGTTGTTTGGGTTTCTTGTTAACTAGTTGAGGATAAGGACCTTGTCATCTTTTGTTATATCCCCATAATTTTGGACTTATAGTATGAGTACTAAGTAAATATTATTTGAATTGATATGTTAATATTGTTTGTCACATTCTCTGATAATTAAAAGTATCACCTTAGTTAATCTAAAAATGATAATTTTTTTAATTCTTAAGGATGTTTCAGTATCTGAAATTGACTTTACTTGATGGTTTTGAATTTCTACGTATATTAATTCTTTCAAAAATTTTCTTATATTTTCTTTTAATAATTCATGTCACTCATTGGGTGCCGGGCACCATGCTGGGCTCTTTAGGAAATATCTTTAATTCTCACAAGAAACCTACAAGGTAGATTCAGGTATTCTCATCTTGTGAATGTGAAGGCAGGAAATTTGAGAAGTTAAATAATTTGTCCAAAGTCACATGGGTATTAAATGGCAGAGCTGAAATTTAAACCAAGACTGTGTCTCTAATACTGGCATTCTTTTAAATATACATCCTTGCTTGGTTTTGTGTTTTGTGTGTGAGAACGAGAGAGAGTGAATATGTGTTACAGTATGTTGTTATCATGGCTTTTCATTTTTGGTTGACCTATTTTGGTATATCATTTATTAGCAATTTTCTAAAACCTGTAAATGGCTTGTAGTAATAACAGCTGACATTTATTGAGCATTTATAATGTGCCAAGCAGTATTCTAAATAATTTACATGTATTAACTGTTGAGTCCTTACAACAGTCTTGAAGGATAAGTAGGAATTTGATAAAGAAGGAATGCATTTTAGGTAAATAGAATGGCATGATGAAAGCAATAGCAGTGAGTTAATAAAGGGCATATTTAGGAGACAGAGAGGTGTCCAGTTTAGCTATGGTGGAGATAATTCTGAAAAGGACCAAATTACAGAGGAAGATCTTGAGTGCTGTGCTAAAGAGTTAGGTCATTTTTTTTTTTGGGCAGAGGACAACCACAGCAATACGTATGGTTGAGCGTATGGATTTATATATATATGTCTGATACATATAAGCATTTTAAGTGATATTATTTGTGATTTCAAAAATTAAAAACTTATTAGAATTATTCTTAGGATAGAATTATATATATATATTTTTTGGAAGAAATACTTTGAAAAATCAAGCGATGAAAAGTAAATGATAAAGAAGCTATGAATGAGGGAAATAGAAGACTTCTTTTCTGGAGTAGGATTGGGGATATAGGAAAGGAGAAAGGTGTGGGAGGAGGGGATAAGAAAAGAGAGAGAGCCAGAAAGGCAGCCGGAGGCTGTATGTCCATTGAGAGGTTTCCTTGTTATTGTCCCTGATCTTCAGTAAAGTCAGTTAAGCTCATGAAATACTTGATGTAAGAGGATTTTTTCTGGAAAAAGGTGAAATTTGGCATCTGGGATGAAAAAAACAACACATTATCATTGCAAGAGCTAGAAGCACATAGGACCATGAAACCTTAAGCTGTGAAGAATTAGCAGAAACCTTAGGGCTAGCTTTGCCTTCTACATGTCATATCATTTTTGGTTCAAACAACTTTACTAAGTTTTCAGAGAGGTAGGAGATGGGGTACCCAGCTGGCTTCTTAATTACAATGATTATTTTTGAGCAATGAAATGAAAAATTTCATTTAATTATTTTTAGTAATCATTTGTTGAAAACATGCTGGCTAGGACATTGATCATGCCCAGAAGGAGCACATCAAAATAATAACTGAATATATGCTTGTGAAATCATAGGAATTATATATATTAGTTTCTGCCCCCTGTTCCTGACTCAGAGCTCCTAAAACTCTTATAATATCCTGAGCGGTAGGGGTGCTAGGAACGTCTTTTGTTCTTATGTTTGGTCTTTGATCCCAGTTCCTAACACAGTTGGTAAAACTCTTAACAATTTGCTGAGTGATGGAGGTGATGGGAGTGTCTCATATGGAGCTCCTAAATCCCTTGGAATTTCCTGGGTGATTAGAATGCATCTTTTGTTCTAATGAGGTGACTCTGTGGGTTTCTGGATGGCATCTTGTCACCAGAAAGACCAAGCCAAGATTAGAATGGAACTTTCAGCCCCATTCCCAATCCTCTGGGCAAGGGAAGAGGAGATTGAGTTGATAATTTATCATGCCTATGTGATGAAGCCTCCATAAGAATCCCTGAAATACGGGATATGTAGAGCTTCTGGATTGGTGAACACATCCACCTCCTGGGAGGGTAACACACTCCTTCAACTCCTGACAACTTCACGGGAGCAGAAGCTCCTGTGCTTGGGACCCTTCTAGACCTTTCTCTGTGTACCTTTTCATCTGTATTCTTTATGATATCCTTTATAATAAATGGCGAAATATAACCAAGTGTTTCCTTGAGTTCTGTGAGTCATCACAGCAAATTACCAAACCTGAGGAGGGGATAGTGGGAACCACTGATTTGTAGCCAAGTTGGACGGAAGTATGGGTAATCTGGAACCTACTTTGATGATTGGCATCTGAAGTGGAGATTGATCTTATGGGACAGTCCTTACCCTGTGGGGTCTGTGCTAACTTCAGGTAGTTAGTTCATGATTGAAGTATAGGATTCCCGGTTGGTGTCTGGAGAGTTGGAAAATCAGTTGGTGTGGGAAAAACCTTCACACATTTGGTGTCAGTAGTGAAGTGTTGAACGTAGACTAAAAGGAAGTGTTTTTCCATTTCATGCTTTAGAAAGATAACTGATGGTAATGTAAAAGAATTGAAAGTCAGTAGACAGGACATGATGACTTTGATACAGGGCAGTGCATCTGGAAAAGAGAGGATGGATTTGAGATATTTTAAGGTAGGATCAACAGCATCTGGCAGATGATTGGATTTGGGGTCTTCAGAGACAGAGAGGAAACAAAGATTTAAATATCTCCATCTTGGATGATAGTGTTGGTAACCAAAAGTGGTACACTAGAGGAAGCCTGAATTTTAGGGGAAAGGTAATTTAAATTCGGGTATGTGTTATTTGAGGTAGGCTGTGTGGAAGTGAAGGATAGACATATTGATTTTTTTTTTTTCCAGCAAGGTGGGCAAGGTGGCATTTAAGGCCAATAGATAAGATCACATTGATGGAAAGTATAGGTGGAAAATATCTATCTTTAAGGATATACTGAAGAAGAAGGATCAGTGAATTAAACTGAGAAAGGAAAGGCAATGTATAGCACAAAATTCATAATAGTATACCTGTAGAAACCAAAGGAAAGACATTTGTAGAAAAAGGGGGTTGTACAAAGTGTATAAATGCTTAAAAGAGATAGAGCAGGAAATAGCCTGAGTAGAGGGTGTAGGGTCTGGCAATGAGAAATTACTAATGACTTTTGAGAGAGCATTTTTACTAGAGTGGTACGAATAGAAAGTAAAAGCAGTCATATTAACAGCAGCTAGTCTACATTTACTGACGCTGTGATATGTGCTATTTGCTGTGGCTACATGATATGTGCTAAAACTAAATTGCATTGTTTTATAGAATGAATGGTTATGATATTGGAGTAGAGAAAAACTTATTTTTTAGATTCTGAGGCAGTGTCTTGCTCTGTTACCCAGGCTGGAGTGCAACAGTGTCCCAATCACGGCTCACTGCAGCCTTGACCTCCCTGGGCTCAAATGATCTTCCCGTCTCAGTCTCCCAAGTAGCTGGGACCACAGGTGTGTGCCACCACGCCCAGTTAATTTTTTATTTTTATTTTTTGTAGAGACAGGGTCTCCCTATGTTGTCCAGGGTTGTCTCGAACTCCTTGGCTCAAGTGGTCCTCCTGTCTTGGCCTCCCAAAGGGCTAGGATTACAAGCTTGAGCCACCGTGCCAGCCAAGAAGAACTTGTATAAACTGTAAAACACGGTCTATAAAAGGGAAATATTAATCAGTTTGACCAGATAAAATTAAAAATATCCACATGATATTTATACAAATATGTATAAATATACATATATAATAAATATATGTACATTATAGTAAATGTATATATGTTTATATACATATGTGTATATAAACACACATATATTTAAAAATACATATGTATATGTACACATGTATATATAAATACATATAGACATATATAGTGTATATAATATATAGTCTACAATTATAATTATATAATTATAATGTATAATTATATATCACTTAATGTAATATATAATATTTAATAATATATAATATACTAATGTAATTTATATAATTATATATTTTATATATAATGTATCTATATATACATATATGTATATATATGTGCATGTGTGAAGATGTATCAGGAAAGATTAGTCTCCAAAATAATAAAGAACCACAAATGAATATGCAATGAATATGAAAAACTTGAACAACCCAAGAAAAATGAGCCAAGATGGTGAAGAGGTGCTGTTTAATTAGAAACTTGAATGGCCAAATACAAGAAAATGCATATCCTGGTAATGAAGGGAATGCAAAATAAAATGAGATACTGTTCTTACTTATCAGATATAATATACACAAATTTGAAGGTTCGATGATATCAAGTGTTAGCAAGGGTATGAAGAAATAGGAACTGAAACACTGTTGGTGGGAGGGTAAATTGGTCTAACCTGTTTGTGAGAAATTTGAGAGTACCTAGAAAAATAGAGAATATGTTTAACTTACGACCCAACATTTCTAAGACGCTTAAGTATTTACAGAGAAGTTCTCCATATGTGTGGAAAACACATGTACAAGAATTTCATTGTAGCTTTAATAAAAAGTTGGAAACAAGTATTCACAAGAAGAGGATTAGATGAATAAAGTTATTCATTCATTCCACAATTATTTATTGAGAGGTTACTATGTGCCAGGCACTGGGGTTACTGCTGAAAGTATGAAATATACAGTCTTTACTCTCAAGAAACTTACAGTCCAACAGATGAGAGACATTAAATAATTAGAAAAATATTCACTTTGGTGAATTTCTAGTTCTTAACACATGTCTAGAGGTTACTGCTCTGCCTTGGTCAAGACTTTCTTTGTTGCCTCAACAGAAATATAATATTCTCTTCACCTCATTTAAGATATTTTAATGCTAACATTTTCTTTTTGTCATTACAGACTTACGGCTTTTCACATTTACTGTATGTTGGTTGATCTCAACCAATTATCTTTTGATGCTCAAATTGTCGTGACATTGGCCAGTGGAAGGTCCTTTGAGATTTGCTTCTGTATCTTTCAACAAAACCACATAAATCTTACGAAACATCTTGTTTTCTTCCAAACCACGTGTTCAGACCCACTTTGTACTTTTCAGTATCAGATAGGAAGCTAGCAATTTCCCATTGAGTCCTTGTTTTTTTTTTTTTTTCTTTAGAAGAAAAAGTGTTAGAGACCATAATCTGAGTGCAAAGGTGCTTTGTGGGGATGATATTGACCCAGGCCATTTCAGTGGACAAGCTAGAACAGATACATGTTTTCAGTGTTTTTCTTATAAAGGCATGAATTCAAATTAATATTTGAAATCTATTTCTAACTGGATCATATTCCTACTTAAATTCTTGATTCTTTAATATCTAATTTTCTATCATAGAGAAATTTTTTAATAGTTACTTTTGTTTTGCTAAGGATTTTAGTGAAATTACTTTAGCTGGAGTCACTCATCTCTCATTTTCTGTGGCATTTATCTGATGGAGAGTTTCGTTCATTTGTTTCAGTTCCCTTTCTATTTGAAGGCATTGACATTCTGATATCTCACAAGTCTAAGTGCTTAGAAGGTAGCGGCTTTCAGCCACAGTGATTTTATATCACTACTACCCTCCAAGTCATCTACAATGAATTTATTCATAAGAATTTAATACAAGATTCTTAAACTTGGTTCTGTCTCTATTATTTAATTTCTAGTAATATTAGAACATGGTTGCAAAAATTAGATTATTTTAACAATGCTGAATCTGTCCTGATTTATCAAGCTTTTAAACTTATCTTCCTACCTTTCTGAGCTACAAACTTATTTCCTTGTATTATGCAGTTTTTCCTTCTCATTATATCGTGCTGTGCACTGTTATGTCGAGGTATATAGTATATAAATCCAAATGGCCCTCCTAGTAGTATCTAGACCGAATACCGAAAGTAAAAAAAATTTCTTACAATTTGTCTGTGAGCTGTCTATAAAGAAAACAATTAAGAATTTATTTTATTTTTAATAAGCCTCATCTTTCCACAGATTGCATGCTATCACCTGGCTAGCATTTTTTCAGGGTTTCTCTTAGATGACCAGGACATGATGGGCCTAAGAGCCATTAATTAAAAATTAGAATTTAGGGTTATCTCTGATATACCCATTGTATCTCAGGGACCAAAATGATTTAACATCTATCGTTGTGGATTTGTCTGTTTCTTCCTGAAGTTCTATCAGTTTTTGCTTCCTTTATAGTAATTCCTACTTAACGTCATAGATAGTTCTTGGAAACTGCAACTTTAAGTGAAACCATGTACAGTGGGTCCTCAACATCCTTTTGTTCAACTTCATTTCATTATAACAATGATGAGAAAAAAATTGATTTTATTATACATCATTTTGCTTAAAGTCACAGTTTCTGGGAACCTATTGACAACATTAAGTGAGGACTAACTGTATTTTGAAGCTCTGTTGTTAGGTACATAAACATTTAGAATTATTTATTATTGTTTCTTAATGAATTGACTCCTTAGTAGTTATGAAATGACCTTCTTTATTCTTGGTGATATTCTTTGGTCTGAAGTCGATTTTGTCTGATATTAATATAGCCACTTCACAGACAACACAACAAAAAAAGAAAATTTCAGGCCAATATCCCTGATCAACATTGATGCGAAAATCCTCAATAAAATACTGGCAAACCAAATCCAGCAGCACATCAAAAAGCTTATGCACCACGATCACGTCGGCTTCATCCCTGGGATGCAAGGCTGGTTCAACATACACAAATCAATAAATGTAATCCATCACGTAAACAGAACTAATGACAAAAACCACATGATTATCTCAATAGATGCAGAAAAGGCCTTCGATAAAATTCAAAACTGCTTCATGGTAAAATCTCTTAATAAACTAGGTATTGATGGAATGTATCTCAAAATAATAAGAGCTATTTATGACAAACCCATATTTTGCCCATACTGAATGGGCAAAAGCTGGAAGCATTCCCTTTGAAAACTGGCACAAGACAAGGATGCCCTATCTCACCACTCCTCTTCAACATAGTATTGGAAGTTCTGGCCAGGGAAATCAGGCAAGAGAAAGCAATAAAGGGTATTCAAATAGGAAGAGAGGAAGTCAAATTATCTCTTTTTGCAGATGACATGATTGTATATTTAGAAAACCCTGTTGTCTCAGCCCAAAATCTCCTTATGCTGATAAGCAATTTCAGCAAAGTCTCAGAATACAAAATCAATGTGCAAAAATCGCAAGCATTCCTATATACCAGTGATAGACAAACAGAGAGCCAAATCATGAGTGAACTCCCATTCACAATTGCCACGAAGAGAATAAAATACTTAGGAATCCAACTTACAAGGGATGTGAAGGACCTCTTCAAGGAGAACTACAAACCGCTGCTCAAGGGAATAAAAGAGGACACAAACAAATGGAAAAACATTCCATGCTCATGGATAGGAAGAATCAATATCATGAAAATGGCCATACTGCCCAAAGTAATTTATAGATTCAATGCTATCCCCATCAAGCTACCATTCACTTTCTTCACAGAATTGGAAAAAACTACCTTAAAGTTCATATGGAACCAAAAAAGAGCTCGCGTAGCCAAGACAATCCTAAGCAAAAAGAACAAAGCTGGAGGCATCACACTACCTGACTTCAAACTATACTACAGGGCTACAGTAACCAAAACAGATATATAGACCAATGGAACAGAACAGAGGCCTCAGAAATAGCACCACACATCTACAACCATCTGATCCTTGACAGACCTGACAAAAACAAGAAATGGGGAATGGATTCCCTATTTAATAAATGGTGCTGGGAAAACTGGCTAGCCATATGCAGAAAACTGAAACTGGAACCCTTTCTTACACCTTATACAAAAATTAACTCAAGGTGGATTAAAGACTTAAACTAAGACCTAAAACCATGAAAACCCTAGAAGAAAACCTAGGCAATACCATTCAGGACATAGGCATGGGCAAGGACTTCATGTCTAAAACACCAAAAGCAATGGCAACAAAAGCCAAAATTGACAGATGGGATCTAATTAAACTAAAGAGCTTCTGCACAGCAAAAGAAACTATCATCAGAGTAAATAGGCAACCTATAGAATGGGAGAAAATTTTTGCAATCTCTCCATCTGACAAAGGACTAATATCCAGAATCTACAAGGAACTTAAACAAATTTACAAGAAAAAAACAATCCCATCAAAAAGTGGGTGAAGGATGTGAATAGACACTTCTCAAAAGAAGACATTTATGCAGCCAACAAATATATGGAAAAAGCTCATTATCACTGGTCATTAGAGAAATGCAATCAAAACCACAATGAGATACCATCTCACGCCAGTTAGAATGGTGATCATTAAAAAGTCAGGAAACAACAGATGCTGGAGAGGATGTGGAGAAATAGGAACGTTTTTACACTGTTGGTGGGAGTTTAAAGGGAGTTCAACCATTGTGGAAGACAGTGTGGCGATTCCTCAAAGATCTAGAACCAGAAATATCATTTGACCCAGCACTCCTATTACTAGGTATATACCCAAAGGATTATAAATCATTCTACTATAAAGACACATGCACATGTATGTTTATTGCGGCACTATTCACAATAGCAAAGACTTGGAACCAACCCAAATGCCCATCAGTGATAGACTGGATAAAGAAAATGTGGCACATATACACCATGGAATACTATGCAGCCATAACAAATGATAAGTTCATGTCCTTTGCAGGGACATGGATGAAGCTGGAAACCATCCTTCTCAGCAGACTAACACAGGAACAGAAAACCAAACACTGCATGTTCTCACTCATAAGTGGGAGTTGAACAATGAGAATACATGGAGACTGGGAGGGGAACATCACACACCAGGGCCTGTCAGTGGGTGGGGGACTAGGGGAGGGATAGCATTAGGAGAAATACCTAATGTCAATGACAGGTTGATGGATGCAGCAAACCCCATGGCATGTGTATACCTATGTAACAAACCTGCATGTTTTGCACATTTATTCCTGAACTTAAAGTATAATAATAATAAAAAATATAGCCACTTCAGCTTTCTTTTGCTTAAAGTTGCATGGTATATCTTTTTTCATCCTTTACACTTAATCTATTTGTGTCTTTACATTTAGAATATGTTTCTTATAGGAAGTACTAGCTGAGTCTTGCTTTTTTATCCAATCTGATAATCTTTGCCTTTTAAATTAAGGTGTTTAGGGCCAGGCACGGTGGCTCTCACGCCTATAATCCCAACACTTTGGGAGTCCAAGGCAAGTGGATTACTTGAGGCCGGGTGTTTGAGAACAGCTTGGCCAACATGGAGACACCTCGTCTCAACTAAAAATACAAAAATTAGCCTGGCGTTGTGGTGCATGCGTGCAATCCCAGCTACTCAGGAGGCTGAGGCACAAGAATCGCTTTAACCCTGGAGGCAGAGATTGCAGTAAGTCAAGATTGCACCACTGCACTCCAGCCTGGGTGACAGAACGAGACTCTTTCTCAAAAACTAAAAATAAATAAATAAATAAATGTGTTTAAACCGTTTACTTTTAATATGATTATTGATAAAGCTAGGTTTAAATGTATCATGTCATTATTTGCTTTCTATTTGTTAAATCTTTTTTTTTTGTTTTCTTTTCCTCCCTTTCTACCTGCTTTTGGATTGAGTATTTTTATCATTCTCTTTTATCTCTTTTGTTGTCTTATTAGCTATAACTTTTTATTGTTATTTTAGTGGTTTAAGGTTTATAGTATACATCTCTGACTTATCACAGTCTGCCTTCAAGTGATATACCAAGAGCCTTACAGTATACTTCACCTTCTCCCTCTTGGTCTTTATGATATTGTTGTCATACATTTTACTTATTTATATGTTATACACCCCACACATCTTACTTAATATGTTATCCACCCCATAGTAAATTACTATTATTTTGGTTTAAATAGTCAAATATCCTTCAAAGAAGGTATCATGTTTGGTGTTCTTCATTCCTTTGTGTGAATCTGTATTTCCATCTGGACCAGTGGTTTAATCATGGCTCAATGCAGCCTCAACCTCCTGGCTCCAGTGATCCTCATCCTCACACTTCAGCCTCGCAAGTATCTGCACCGCACCTGGTTAATTTTTATTTATTTTTAGAAATGAGGATCTCACTATGTTGCCCAGGCTGTAGTGCAGTGGCACGATCTTGGCTCACTGCAACCTCTGCCTCCTGAGTTCAAACGATTCCCTTGCCTCAGCCTCTCGAGTAGCTGGGACTACAGGTGCCTGCCACCATGCCTGGTTAATTTTTGTATTTTTAGTAGAGATGGGGTTTCACCATGTTGTCCAGGCTGGTCTTGAACTCCTGACCTCAAGTGATCCATCTGGCTCAGCCTCCCAAAGTGCTGAGATTACAGGCGTGAGCCACCGCGCCCAGCCAGAATCTTCCTGTTTTAGCCTCCCAAAGTGCTGGGGATTATAGATGTGAGCCACCATGCCTGGCTAAGGTTTCTTTTAATGCAGGTTGGCTAGTGATGTCTTCTTCCAGCTTTTGTGTATCTGAAAACGTCTTTATTTTGCCTTTATTTTTGAAAGGTGTTTTTGCTGCATATAGGATTCTGAGTTAATGATTTTTTTTCTTCACTACTTTGAAGATGTTGCTGCACTATCTTCTTCTTTTGTTTCCAGTGAGAAATCTAATATCGTCCTTGTCTGTGTCCCCTCTTCAAAGAGTTAATTATGTATAGAATATAGGATATTATTATTAATAACAAGAGTATTGTTGATAATACCTTATATTAGTTAACTCTACAGTATGTAAAACATTTCAGCATTCATTCTAACTTGATTTTCATAGGCAGTCAGGAAAATCTAACTTGATTTTCATATCTTTATTTTAAAAGATAAAATTAGAAAAAAAGGATTGGAAAGATTGTGACATACTTCACATCTTAAGACAGTAATGATAATGTTTGTTACCATTATAGACATTTCTCTGGTTATCTTTAGACCGTATGTTTATTTTTTAGATGAAGATAAAACGTTACCTGCAGAGTCGGGATGTACAATAGAGGATCACGTAATTGCAGGAAATGTAGAAGAATTTCGTAAAGATTTCATTTCTAGAATATGGCTGACCTACAGGGAAGAATTCCCTCAAATAGAAGGCTCAGCTTTGACAACAGACTGTGGGTGGGGCTGCACATTGAGAACTGGCCAGATGCTCTTGGCTCAAGGACTCATACTACACTTTCTTGGTAGAGGTAAATCAAATTTCTGTTTTTGTTTTGTTTTGTTTTGTTTTTTTGTCGTCGATATTTTTCCATTTGAATTCCAGCTTACAAACTGCATGAAATTCCCTGAGGTTAATTTCTTGACTGTGAGATTTTCTAAGGAGTTGTAACTAATTTGGTGTATTGCATTTTTTTTGAACTGGGTCAGATATGACTTATATGTAAACTTCCCTGATTCCCTTTTCAAAAATGCAGGTTAAATATACCTGTTATTCTTGGTCACCATTATGAGTTAAGTTAGTTCAATTTTTAGTACCCTTTGGATTTTATTGTTCTTACTGTTTCTTTCCTTTTGGTTGAACTCTGGATTATCTCCAGTTTAGTTAAGTCCTGGGCAGGTTAGTAACAGTGATTTTGAGGACATATGTAATATTTTTAAAATTTTAAGAGACTTTACTCTGGTTTCTTTATTTTCTCCCTACATGTCAATAATGGTTTAAAAGTATTTTTATCTTTATTAGTGTGATTATACTCAATTATATTAAATCAATTAGACATACTCTTTCAAATTAAAAACTTTTTTTAGCAATAGGGTCTCACTCTGTTGCTCAGGCTAGAGTGCAGTGATGTAATCATAGCTCATTGCAACTTCGAACTCCTGTGCTCAAGCTATTCTCCTGCCTCAGCTTCCTGAGTAGCTGGGACCACAGGTGCGTGCCACCATGGTTAGCTAATTTTTAAATTTTTTTGTAGAGATGTGGTCTCACTATGTTGCCCAGGCTAGTCTTGAACTCCTAGGCTCAAGTGATGCTCCCACCTTGTCCTGCCAAAATATTGGGATTACAGGTGTGAGCCACTGTGCCTGGCACTAGACATATTCCTAATAAGGTAATCATGCAGTTTTAGACCCTAAAAAATGTCATTGATACTTAACTTACATATATATGTTTTTCCTAATGTGCCACCTTTGTGTTAGTCCATTTTTAATAATGTGTACATTTGTAAGAATATTTTAGTTTACAATTTTAAGATATCATATTTGATTATTAAATATTGTCAGATTTTTATAAGTGTTAAGACAGTATCCCTACAATGCATGGCATATATTTAGTAACTTTTTTGTAGAGATTATTGATGAGATTATTTAGAGAGAATGTTTATTGAAGAATGGTGTTGAAAATGTAAGGAAAATAATTTTTAAACTGGTTTTCTGGGATGATTTATTTATAGTCTTGTGCAGTCATGGGCAAGGATTGGAATATTTTTCAGTCCTCACTAGATCTCTGAATCTATGACTTATTTTGTTAACTTAAAATTACATGCATGTTTGGGGATTGTCTTGTTATTCAAAACAGTGACATAATGGATATATTTGATTTTTCAAGGTCTTTGATCTTTTATGATTTCATTTATTAACTATTAGAGAATTGTTATTACTCTGTTAATAATGATTAAGTTATTCTGAAGAAACGTACAGGAAAATATTTTGAAAAAAATTTAAAACTTCCATGGTCAGACTTCTATTTTAACATATAATCAAAACATCCACTTTCTGAAGATATCTTCTTATGAGTATCATAAATGTTAGTAAATATGTTTATTGTGCCTTTGGGTAGTCAAGACTGGATGTTTGATAAGCAGTCTGATAATGAAATACAAAAGTCTTTATCTCAGCACTGTCAAAGAAGAGAAAAAAGAACATCTGGGATTGTCCATTTTTACCCAAGGTTACTATTTTTTCTTTCTTTTGTCTTGTATTTTTGTAATTTTTTTCTTGATTATATGAAATTTTGGAAACTACAGAAAAGTACAGAGAATAATACCATTAAGGTAGAAACATCATTGATATTTGGCATATTGTTGTCTTGTACCTTTGTTTTTTAAGCAGTTTTATTGAGATATAACCTATATACCATAAATTCACTCATTTCAAGTGAATAATTCAGTGGTTCTTAGCATAGTTATAGAGTTCCACAATCATCACCATAAATCTAATTTTAGAACACTTTTATCATCCCTTGAAGAAACCTTGTACTCATCAGCAGCCACTCCCAGTACCTCTCCCTAAGCAACCATTAATCTACTTTTTGTTTCCATGTATTTACCTATTTTTGAATTTACTGTCTTAGTAACCCAAATGACCTTAAATGCTACGTATTTATTTTAGTAGAATTGTTAAAGTATCTATTTAAAAGATCTGAACACTTTGCTTTGGAACTACTATAGCTTGGACCTGGCCTGATGCTTTGAATATTGAAAATTCAGACTCTGAATCATGGACTTCCCACACTGTCAAAAAATTTACTGCATCATTTGAAGCATCACTTTCAGGGGAAAGAGAATTCAAAACCCCAACAATTTCTCTGAAGGAAACAATTGGGAAATATTCTGATGATCATGAAATGCGAAATGAAGTTTATCATAGGAAAATCATCTCTTGGTTTGGTGATTCCCCCTTGGCTCTTTTTGGCTTACATCAACTAATAGAATATGGAAAGAAGTCTGGGAAAAAAGCAGGAGATTGGTATGGACCAGCTGTGGTTGCTCACATTTTAAGGTAAAATTGTTTTAAAATCTTTCTTCTTGTGACAGAGGTCCTCAGGATTAAGAGATACTGATTTTTGCAATGTGTATATATAATTGGAACTTTAAAAGTCTAACTGTATGAGAATGTTGATAAAGACGCTTTCATTTGCCAGCAGGGAAAAAAGAAGACATATTGCGACTCTAGTTACATTTAATTTATTTACTGACAAATTTTTCTTCTCTTTCTCTTAGGTATAGACATCCCAGGTCTCTTTCTAACCAGGTTTTCATTAGAATACCTTACTGAAATGCTCTAAACACTAACATCTCTTTCAACCTTGGAACGTGCATAACATTATAGTTTTTTTTAATAGTGTAACCTGGGGGCTGTAATGTACTGATAGTGTAATGAAATGTCAAGAGCTAAAATTGATATTTTCGGCATTTCTTTGCACACATCAAATTCTTGTGAATTGGAAATGTATGGCACTATTAATATTATAATTATATCATGGTAAAAGTAAAGGATCTGTGACATTCAGGATAGTTAGAAAAAAGTCAAAAGTCAAATTTCACTTTACTTCAGCTTTTTATGTACCATTTATTTTGATACCAAGTTTTTAAAAAAATTATCTTATTTGTGTGTGTATCCCATTTTTGTTATAAACTAAATCATTAATATTTCATATAAGTATAGCATGTTGTGATTTAAATTTACTCCATTTAAAATCATATATAAATTTGAAATCATTACAAAGCATTTTTGCATATTAACATGCTTCTATATTTTATAGGCCAGATGCTTACAATTGAAAAGTATTTGCCTAATGTTATTAATTTGATTGTTAATAATATATCAATTCCAACTTGGTATGACATTTATAAAAGCATAATCATAAAAGCATAGTTTCTACCCTTCAAGATGTTCTCTACTCCGGGGGACAGCAAACTTCTTCTGTGAAGTGACAATAGTAAATATTTTAGGCTTCACAGGTCTTGTAAAGGTTTCTGTTGACCGTCTTTCCTCTCCCTCCAGTCCCTTAAAACTGTCAAAAACCTTTCTTAGCTTGCAGATGGTACAAAAACAGGATACAGGTTGTATTCAGCTTATGGGCATAGTTTGCCAGTCTTTCTTCTACACTAACACATAGGAACATGAATAATAGGGCATTTTCAATTAAATGATTACATATATAGTTAAATAAAATTACATTTCCACAATTTGCATAATCACCGTTTATAGATATTGTTATTGTGATTTTTTTCACATCATGTACACCATTGAGAACATTATACTTAGGAATATTGTTTAATTTACAGTTTTACTTATATAATTTCAAGACTTGAAATTAGGAAATTCATTTGTTCAGGTCATATAGGTTTTTGAATGAAGGAAAAAAGTCATGCTGTTGTTTAAAGAACGAACAGTTTCTTAAGTGTACTAGAGGACAGACACAGTAATTGACTCCTAGTCAGTAATGTAAGTTAATTTGCAGCAAATCTTGCAGCATATTCATACCACTGGTAAGGTGAGTGGTTGAGAGAAATCCTTCTTTTTGGAGGGAGGGGAGTAGAGCTTTATACCCAATAATTTTTTTTAATGTATTTTGTAATTTGTGTTTTAATGTTCTTTGAGTAATTTAATGTAATATTCAACTTTGAAAATTTTAATCTGATGTCTGATACCATTCAGATAATAGTTTTTGACAGCAGACACTATGAGTTAAATAGGAAAGTCACAAAACTGCTGGCATTTTTTCCTTCTTAAATTAAATATTTAGTTGCCAATAGGAAATGTTAGGATTTTGAAAGATAATGCTTGTTATTTTCTCAGAAAAGCAGTTGAAGAAGCAAGGCATCCTGATTTACAAGGAATAACTATTTATGTTGCACAAGATTGTACAGGTAAGGAATGTATATAATTCTAATCTTTGTTTTATTTGGTCATACTTTTTATATGTGTTTAGCTTATCCCAGTAATACTGTAAATGATTATGAAGGTAGGGACCATGTCTTATACATTTTTGTTCCTAAATGTAGTAAGCATTTAATAAAAATATTTTTTGATTGAATACATACTATGAATTTTTAGTTGCGATATTAAAATAAATTCTCAAAGAATTTCAGCATTTCAAATAACTACTTTAAAAGTGATAGGCAGGAAAATTTAACATAGGTATATACTTGGGCTGCATGTATGCTGGGAACCATTTCATTGGTGGACGTGTTTCAAGGAAAGAAAATTCTTAGTTTATCTTATGAGGAATTGAATATATTTCTCACTAATACTTCAGTAAATCATCTACTAATGATGCAGCTATTGTCCAGATTTGCTTTGTTTTATTGTTTTGGGTCTTCTTTTTGATGATCACTCTCTATACAGGTTGAGTATTTTTTATCCAAAATGTTTGAGACCACAAGTGTTTCCGATTTTGTATTTTTTGGACCTTTCAATATTTGCATGTATGTAATGAGATATCTTGGGGATGGGACTGAAGTCTAAACATGAAATTCATTTATGTTTTGTATACTCCTTATACACATAGCCTGAAGGAAATATCATACACTATTTTTAATAATTTTATGCATGAGACCAAGTTTTGACCGTGTTTTGATTGCAACCCATCACATGCAGTCACATGTAGAATTTTTCACTTGTGAAAAATGCTGTGCTCAAAAAGTTTTAGATTTTGGATTAGGAATGCTCAACCTGTAGTAATTTTGAAACTTGTTGCGGATAAAATAGACACCTCAATTCTTAATAAATTAAAAATGGCTTAGCCACCTCATGCTGTTAAGTGTTTTTTTTACAGGAATACTGTTAACAATGATAAAATATGTTAATGTTTTAGAAAAGTTAAATATACTTCAATCATGTTTTAATACAAGGGTATCTATAAAATGCTTAAGGTTACACTGATAACCACCTAGTGTTTGTAGTGTGTAATAATAGTTACCAAATATTCATGCGTTTTTGTTTGGCCTTGTAAAGAAAGACCAATATCCGTAATTATAGCCATAGGAAAAGAAAAGGTCTAAATTTTCAGATAAGTATATGAGTTTTGCAGGTACTATGTTTTTCAAGTAGGAAGTCTTGAAAAACATTTGCTGTGTTAAATAGTTCTAATTAAGCCTAAGGATGTACCTAAACAAGTAATCATTAAATAAATGTATGAATTTACCTTTTGTGCTTTTATTAACACAGTCAGCCTAGATATTTGTTACATATAATTAAGCAAACATTACAGTGTTCCTTGTTATAGAAATGGTTTGTGTAATTTGAAGAAGTTCTTAAAATTTTTATCATTCATGTTTAAGACTCCTAAAGGGAGAACTTGTATTTGTATAATTTTTATAGACTATGAGATTAGGAATTAAGTGAGACCAGACTCTATCAGTGATTTCTTCCCCCTCTGTCTTCATTAGTGTTTTTAAAGGTTTTGTTTTCTATTTATTTTCTCTTTTTCTTATTCTGTGTTGTTTTCCTTTGTAATTGCATCTATTTTTATGGCTTTAAATACTTAGGACTATGTACTCTATACTAGGACTTTTAAAAATACATTTTTAGAGCCAAGCACAGTGGCTCATGCCTATAATCCCAGCACTTTGACAGGCCGAGGTCGGGGGATCACTTGAGCCCAGCAGTTCAAGACTAGCCTGGGCAGCATGGTGAAACCCTGTCACTACAAAAAATACAAAATTTAGTTGAGCATGGTGGTGACATGCCTGTAGTCCCAGCTACTCGGGAGGCTGGGGTGGGAGGATCACTTGAGCCCTGAAGGCGGAGTTGCAGTGAACTGATATTGTGCCACTGCACTCCAGCCTGGGCAACAGAGTGAGACTCTGTCTCAAAAAACATTTCTAACCCTACCTGAGTCAATATGTGATAACTTATATTTTCTGCCACCTTTCAAATATCTCCACTTACGTATTCTACAAACACTTCAAATTCAGCACGTTTAAAAGTACACTTACTGTTTCCCTCGGTCCCACCCCTTTTTCTTCCTATTTTCTCTTGACTAATAGTGGCATGTCCACATATGTACTCAAGTAGTAAGTAGAACCCATTTATTCTTGACTGCACTTTCATTGCTTATATTATATTTAGTCAGTCAACACTTAAGAAAATGTTCCTGAAATCTGTTCTCTCATCTTCATTCTCGTTGATTTAGATCAGACCCTTATCTCTTGTTTGGACTTTAGCTTGATTTCCCTACCTGTCCTCTTTTCCCTTTTTGGTCCATCTGATCAAAAGAAACTGATCATGTCCCTTTATCTACAAACCAATGACTGCCCATTAACTCCTAGTCTCATGTTATCTTGGCATATGAAGCACAATGAAGTCCTTTATAATTTGTCCCGACCTACATTTCCAGCATCACCTTCTAACTATCTTCCATACACAGTACACTAAAATATTTTCCGCCCTCAGGCCATTCCTTAGACATGGTGTCATTATCTTTTTTCCCCATGCCTTTGTGCATATTATTGCCTCTGCTTGGAATGCTTTTTATTATTAGAATGCCTCTTGTTAGGTCTTATTCATTCTTCAAGAACACGCACAAAGGTTATACCTTTGGCAGTCTTTCCCAACTCTCGTTAGGCAGAATTACTTTTCCTCTGTGGTCTGTAACATTTGGAAATACTTCTATTAAATATTGAACTTATAATTCACTTGTGATATCACCTTATAATTGTTTGTTTCTTATATATAATATCAATGATTGTTGAGGTAGCAGGCGTAGAAGTAAGGTATCAGAATCATTTGGTTGAGATTCGCTGCTGTAATGAGCCTCTGTTACAGAATTGGACTATGTCATATACCTTACATATATATTGGAAGTGAAGGAAAAACACCAAACATTTGGGCTAGACAGTGTTTGAAGTCAGGATCTTATTTATTTTATACCTCTCTAGTGTAGAACACATAAATAAATTGCAGGTCCTCAATAAATGTGTGTCGAATGAAGATGAAGGGTAAGAATGCAATCTCTATCCCGATGAGGGAGAACTACCATGGCATTTTTGTAGCTTTGGTTTCAATTGACTATGGGAGATAGGGGAGTTAGGTGATGAGAAGAATTTGATAGCTCAGTCTAAATTTGGAATTTAAAGGAAAGAACTGGGACAGAAGTGGCAGAATTTCCTATTCGGCTCTTCTGGGAAGATCAGAAGAGTTTCATTCAACTGACAAGGAGTATGGGTGTAAAGTATGTTTTGAATAAAACTACTTTAATTTGAATAAAATAAAATTTTGTCTATATTTGCTTCTACCAGATCCTCCTATTTTCTCTTGAACTGTGGTACTTAGACTGTCATACCCACCATCATACCAGAACTGCTCTTTTCTCTTTCTCTCTCTCTCTTTTTTTTTTTTTTTTGAGACAGGGTTTTACTCTGTTGACCAGGCTGGAGTGCAGTGGTGCGATCATAGCTCACTGTTACCTCAAACTCCTGAGCTCAAGTGTTGCTCCTGCCTCAGCTTCCCAAGTAACTAGCATTAAAGGCATGCATCACCATCCCTGGCTAATTTTGAAATTTTTTATAGAGATGAAGGTCTCGCTATGTTGCCCAGGCTGGTCTTGAAGTCCTGGCTTCAAGTGATCCTCCTGCCGCAGCCTCCCAAAATGCTGGGATTATAAGTGTGAGCTGGCTGGGCATGGTGGCTCATGGCTGTAATCCCAGCACTTTGGGAAACCAAGGCAGGGGGATCAGAAGGTCAGGAGTTCGAGACCAGCCTGGCCAATATGGTGAAACCCTATCTCTATTACAAATACAAAAATTAGCTGGATGTGGTGGCAGGTATCTGTAGTCCCAGCTACTCGGGAGGCTGAGGCAGGAGAATCCCTTGAACCTAGGAGGCGGAGGCTGCAGTGAACCAAGATCGTGCCACTGCACTCCAGCCTGGGTGACAGAGGGAGACTCCGTCTAAAAAAAAAAAAAAAAAAAAGCATGAGCCGTTGTGCCCACCCCAAAACTGCTCTTACCAATAATTTAATCTTTCTAAGCCTCGCAGTAACTTCTCAGTCCTCATATCACACAATCTATCAGTAGCATTTGACACCGTTGACTCTTTCCTCTTCCTCCTTACAACACTTTGTTTACTTGATTTCTGGACACTACTCTGTAGATTTTCCCTCTGCCTCCTTATTCACTCCTTCACAGCCTGGTTTGTTGGTTTTTCCTCATCTCCTTGATCTCTAAAAATGTCATGTTTTAGTGCTCAGCCTTTAGACTTCATCTCATCTTTTTTTCTGTCTATACTGATTTGAATTCACCAAGTCTTGTGGCTTTATAATGCAGATAGTAATCTGCATGTTGGTAACTCCCAAATTGATAGGTCCATTCTAGTCCTCTCTCTAAACTCCAGTTGCGTGTCCCTGTCTACTCAACCTTTCTGTTTACCTAACAAGTATCTCAAACTGAATTCCCAATTCTCCCTCCTATATTTTCCCCTCCTCCAGTCTTCCATGTCTTTATAAATGGCAACTTTCTTACTCTGTTTGCTTAAACCAAAACCCTTCAAATCACCTGTGACTCAATTTTTTCTCTCACATCTTACATTTAATAGTGAGTCCTTATTTATCTTCAGATACATGAACTGATCACTTTTTTTTTTTGGAGATGGAATCTCGCTCTGTTGTCCAGGTTGGAGTGCAGTGGCACGATCTCAGCTCACTGCAACCTCTGCCTCCCAGGTTCAAGCGATTCTTTTGCCTCAGCCTCCCAAGTAGCTGGGATTACAGGTGCCTGCCACCATGCCCGGCTAATTTTTTGTATTTTTAGTAGAGACGGTGTTTCGCCATGTTGACCAGGCTGGCCTCGAAGTCCTGACCTCAAGTGATCCACCCACCTTGGCCTCCCAAAGTGCTGGGATTACAGGCGTGACCCACCACACCTGGCCAAACTGATCACCTCTACGTGACCATTCCCTATTTTTTTTTTTTTTGAGATGGAGTCTAGCTCTGTCACCCAGGCTGGAGTGCAGTGGTGCGATCTCCACTCACTGCAAGCTCCACCTCTCGGGTTCATGCCATTTTCCTGCCTCAGCCTCCCCAGTAGCTGGAACTATAGGCGCCCGCCACCATGCCTGGCTAATTTTTTTGTATTTTTAGTAGAGACGGGGTTTCACCATGTAAGCCAGGATGGTCTCGATCTCCTGACCTCGTGATCTGCCCACCTCAGCCTCCCAAAGTGCTGGGATTACAGGCGTGAGCTACCACGCCCGGCCGACCATTCCCTATTTTTACAGTTACTACCTTTGTTCAAACCACCATCATCTCTTTTTTTCTTTCTTTTTTTTTTTAATTTAAGTTCTAGGGTACATGTACGCAACGTGCAGGTTTGTTACATATGTATATATGTGTCATGTTGGTGTGCTCCACCCATTAACTCATCATTTACATTAGATGTATCTCCTAATGCTATCCCTCCCCCCTCCCCCTACCCCACAACAGGCCCTGGTGTGTGATGTTCCCCACCCTGTGTCCAAATATTCTCATTGTTCAGTTCCCACCTATGAGTGAGAACATGCGGTATTTGGTTTTCTGTCCTTGCAATAGTTTGCTCATAATGGAAAGCCACCATCATCTCTTGCTGGATAACTGCAGCGGCTTTGTAACTGTTCTCTGTGCTTTAGCCCTTGCCCCTGTAGCCTATTTTGGTTTTAGAGTAAAATGAAAGCAAGTTTATTAAGTAAGTAAAGGAATAAAAAAGTTGCTACTCCATAGGCAGAGCAGCCCCTTGCCTATACAGTCTATTATGAACACAGGAAACAGGCTGTTAAACTGTGAGTCAGATTAGGACATCCCTAAAAAATTCTTCAATGGCTTCCCATCATTGAAAAACTGGTCTTTACAATGGCTTTCAAGAGCTCACACAATCTGTCTTCATTCTCCCCTATAACTATAATCGTATCTTCTAATCCCATTTTTGCTACTGTACCCCTTGTTTACTTCCCTCCAGAAGACTGGCATCTTGTTCCTGGGACATGCTAATTATACTTCTGCCTTAAGATACTCGCACTTTTTGATCTTTTAACTTGGAATGCTTTTCCCCTAGGTATCTGTCTGTATTACTTGGTTTCTTTCTTTTGGTCTTGATTCAAATATTACTTTCTCATAAGGTCTTCCCTGGCCACCTTATTTTAAATTGCCTCCCCCTCAGCATTTCCTGTTCACTCTTCTCTCTTTGTTTTTTCAAAGCATGCATCACCATCTCTATTTCCTCCATTAGCATGCATGCTCAAGAAGAGTGGGAATTTTTCTGTTTTGCCTGCTGCTGAAGGCCCAGTGTCATATAGTAGCTAGCTATCAATAAGTATCTATTGAATACATAAATCAGGTAGGTATTTTTTTTAAACTTTTATTTTAGGTTCAGGGGTACATGTGGTACTTGTTAGATAGGTAAACTTATGTCACGGGGGTTTGTTGTACAGATTATTTCATCACCCAGGTATTAAGCCTGGTACCCAGTAGTTATTTTTTCTGCTCCTCTCTCTCCTCCACCCTCCATCCTCAAGTAGACCCGAGTGTCTGTTGTTCCCTTCTTTGTGTTCATGAGTTCTAATCATTTAGCTCCTACTTTTAAGTGAGAACATGCAGTATTTGGTTTTCTGTTCCTGTGTTAGTTTGCTAAGGATAATGGCCTCCAGCTCCAACCATGTTGCCACAAAAGACATGATCTCATTCTTTTTTATGGCTGCATAGTATTCCATGGTGTATATGTACCACATTTTCTTAACTGTGAGATGGGCACTTAGGTTGATTCTGTGTCTTTGCTATTGTGAATAGTGCTGCAGTGAACATTCGTGTGCATGTGTCTTTATGGTAGAATGATTTATATTTTCCTGGGTATATACCCAGTAATCATTGCTAGGTCAAATGGTAGTTTTGTTTTTAGCTCTTTGAGGAATTGCTATACTGCTTTCTACAAATGGTTAAACTAATCTACACTCCCACCAGTGGTGTATGAGTATTCCCTTTTCTCCACAACCTCGCCAGCATCTGTTATCTTTTGACTTTTTAATAATAGCCATTCTGACTGGTGTGAGATGGTATCTCATTGTGCTTTTGATTTGCATTTCTCTAATGATCAGTGGTATTGAGCTTTTTTTAATACGCTTATTGGCTACATGTATATCTTCTTTTGAAAAGTGTCTTTTCATGTCCTTTGCCCACATTTTAATGGGGTTGTTTGTTTTTCTCTTGTAAATTTGTTTAAGTTCCTTACAGATGCTGGATATTAGACTTTTGTCAGATGTATAGTTTGCAAATATTTTCTCACATTCAATAGGTTATCTGTTTACTATTTTGATAGTTTCTTTTGCTGTGCAGAAACTCTTAAGTTTAATTAGATCCCATTTGTCAATTTTCGCTTTTGTTGCGATTGTTTTCGGTATCTTTGTCATGAAATCTTTGCCTGTTCCTATGTCCAGGATGGTATTGCCTAGGTTGTCTTCTAGGGTTTTTATAGTTTTGAGTTTTACATTTAAGTCTTTAATCCATCTTGAGTTGATTTTTATATATGGTGTAAGGAAGTGGTCCAGCTTCAGTCTTCTGTGTATGGCTAGCCAGTTATCCTAGTGGTATTTTTAACTTACTAAGACATTTCTGGTGATGCCAGAGATGAGATAGCTGGCTGTCCATTGCGGGGTGGAGGATAAATTTGGGTAAAAATATTTCTGAAAATCGCTTTTATATAAAATTTAATACATATTCATTATGTTTTTCTCAGTTTACAATTCTGATGTAATTGATAAACAGAGTGCTTCCATGACTTCTGATAATGCAGATGACAAAGCTGTTATTATTCTAGTTCCTGTTAGACTTGGTGGAGAAAGAACCAACACCGACTACTTAGAATTTGTGAAGGTATGAAATAAGTGCTGAACTTTTTTAGGGCAATACTAGCTAATATGAAAAATATAGAAGGTTTGCAATTTTTTTCTGTTAAATGAGTAGTGATGATTTTGTAGTTGTACGTTGTACGTTGTAAAGTTTGACATTAGAGATTTTAAATTTTGGTATTATAAGACCAATGTGAGTTGAAGAGCACAGTGTTCTATAACAAAATGAAAAGCCTTTTAATCTTTGTAGCTAATCAGGGAGACACAGATGCAGCAATAATCATAACCTGTAATATAGTTACAGTTTCATTATTCTTATTTGTAATTTTAAGTATATATCTTTATTCATAAAACTAGCATTAAACTACATCACATTAATTATTGAAAAAACTCTCTATTACTGCTATGTTATCTCATAATATGTTTCCTGTGACACCATGATGTCAATAAGAGATGAGATTATTTCTATAGCTAGAAATAATGAAGATATGAAGATAGTATTTGGAGGAATTCCAACTTTGTTTTTTTCATCTTAACCAGTTAAAAATCGGTTCTTTCTTGGAGCACATTGTTTGGTTTCTTGCTTCAAAAGAACCTGTGTAGTTATGGTATCTTGTTTTGGGCACCAAGACATTCACATATGATAAAATACCTTGGAAATAGTTTCTGATTAAGGCAGAAGTTTTTAGTTTATTTTCATAGTTTCAATAAAATTCTTCATTTTTTAGTAGTCTCTTTTTGCAGCAATAGTTGGAATTCTTCTTTAAATGGAGTGTTATGGGATATAGTAATGTTGAAATAAAGTCTGAATCTATCTTTTATGATTAATAACTATTTGTTCCCTCCATGAGGCATCCCATGTTATAGTCTCTATATATTTAGTTGGAACATCTATTCTCAGGGTAGATTGTGCTAATTCTAGAAATCTAGAGCAGTTGTTTTTAACATATGATATACATGGAAGTTTTTTAGCTGGTATACTGGCTTTTCTTAATAGTTACTAAAATTTTGGAAGCACATTTGTTACTAAGAGTAACAATACTGTAATATATCAATGACATATTAATCTTCCAAATAAAGGTAAGGTTTTGATGTCTGACATGTATCTTTAGTAGGGTTATTGGTGCAGTATGAGAAGCTGTGAACCACTTCATCTAGAGAATCTGTTGAGGGTTTTGAGACTTCTGACATGTTGTCATCTCTAGGTGGGTTCTAATCAAATCTGAACTGGATTCTTTTTTGCCTTCTCTACTACCATGAGAAGATTAGAAACTGATGCAGTCTTGGAACTGATTCCTTTAGCCAAAGCTTCATTCCTGGTGGAATGGGTTGCAAATGGCTTCAGGCATGTTTCATCTGGCTGAGGACTTTGCTATTTGGTGGTATTGATAGTATTCATTAGATGGTCTCACTGCCTAATGCTCTTGAGTGATTCATGGTTAATAGCTTGACCATGGTTTGTAGTGAAATGTAGCATCCTGCTACATTGTATGAGGAGAAGGAAATTTGATGTGTGTTTTATTGGTCCTTACCACAGGAGGTTTATTTATTTATATTTTTTTAAGGACCTGGAATGAGGAAAATCCAGTATGTTCTTTTTCTTCAGCAAGACAAATTAGGACTTTTCTTTTTGTAGTGAAATGAACTATGGTTAAGCTGTTAAAGTGAAGCCTCAGTATCTAACATATAGGAGTTACTCAATACATATTTGTTAACCCTAATTTGTATAATACTTTTCAATGTAAATTTATCTCATTTTGCCCTCACAGTAGCTAGGAACTGGATTGTCTTTATGAAACAGAAAAGACATAGAGAAGTCAAGTGATATATCCAAATTCAGATAGCAAACTGGTAGCAGAGACTAGACTTTTCTTGACTGTAAGTTTGTTTTTCATGGTTTTCTCTAAAACATGAACTTTTTGAAAGGTAACATTTTCTCGAGCTTTTACTAACTTGATTTACACCGTAGTCCACTACAGTGGGAGAGCAGTGACTATTGAAACATTTTGATTTTCCAGTTAGGTAAAAATGGCTGAAATGGTTAAGTGGAGTAGGTTATATGATAGGTATTATGTTTGGCCAGAGGGGATGGTTGAGTCAAACCCCAATGAGAGCATGTAAAGAGGTATTCACTTAGAAGTGAAAAGGTAGTGTGTTCATTAGCCCTAAAAGAAAAATAATTTTTTCCTTTTTTTCATGTATGGTCAGCCGTTGTATTTTTTCCTGCCAAACCAATGTGCGTTGGTGAGTCTAAAATGTACTGTTCAGTTCTATTTTTCAAATTTATTAAACAAGGTATTTCAGAGATAGTGCCAACATAGCATCCTGCTACATTGTATGAGAAGAAGGAAATTTGTTGTGTGCTTTATTCGTCCTTACCACAGGAGGTTTATTTATGTATGTATGTATGTATTTTTAAGGACCTGGAATGAGGAAAATCCAATATGTTCTTTTTCTTCAGTGAGACAAATTAGGACTTTTTTTTTGACTGATTACTTCAGTCTTATTTATTGCTTCATGGATACAGCTCAATAAATTTTCACCACTAGAAAAATAACTGTAAAGAAGCTCTTTTAGGAACTGAAAAGTGTTTCAATCCAAAGATACAGCCTCTTACATGTAAAGGCATTCTAGCTCCTAATCTGCTTCTAAGCGTTTATTACTAAACTTGCTCTAATGCGTTGCAAGGGAAATACAGATGTCAAGAACCAAAGTCTTTCTTCCGTTACTTAGAACCATTCATTTTCTGAGGAGAGTCAGTGACAATCCTTGCTATATATTTTTTTCTTTCTTTTCTCAGTTGTAAGAGACATAGAACTTTCACTGCCTCACAGGTCTCTATGATATAAACATTGCATTTCAACTGATCAGACTGCCTCGAAGTAAGGCACTCTCTAATTGTATTAAGGATTTTTATTTAGGGGGAAAACAGTAGAATTCTTAATTGATAAGTAACTTTATTACTGTTTAGTGAGATTTTTGATACAATTTTGTCTTTATTTTTAGTTAGCTCTAAGATTTTAACCTGATATGCTTTCTCTGTTTAATTTTTTCAGTTGCAGCTCTCATTCAGTTTATCATTTCAGAAAAAACTTCATGATATTTTTACAATACTAAGAATATACAAGGTTGTTCTTTAGAGGGTGTCCGAGTCCATTTTTTGCTGCTGTAACAGAATACTGGAGACTGAGTAATTTATAGAGAACAGAAATTTATTCTCTCACAGTTCTGGAGGATGGGAAATCTAAGATCAAGGCACTGGCATCTGATGAAGGTCTCCTTGCTGCGCTCTCACATGGTGGAAGACAGAAGGGCCGAAAGAGGGCGAACTCTGTCCTCACGTGGCAGAGGAGCAGGAGAGAGAAACCATTCCTGCAAGTCCTTTTTATAGCAACATTGAGATTTTTGATACAATTTTATCTTTATTTTTAGTTAGCTCTAAGATTTTAACCTGATATTCATGCAAGCTCTGCCCTCATGACCTAAACACCTCCCCAAAGGCTCCAGCTTTCAACACTACATTGGGGATTAAGTTCCCACACATGAATTTTGGAGGGAATAAAAATGTTCAAACTATAGTGGAGGGTTACTTATAACAGTGAGAACTTGGAATGACTTAAATATTTATAGTGGAGGTTTTAAAGCACATTTTGTTGTCATAAAATAGAATATTTTTCAGCTACTACATATTATTAATATAGATCTCTATTTATTGATAGGAAAAGATATTCATGACATAATGAGCAACAAAAGGTTACAATGGCATGTGTTGTGAGATTTCACATATATAAAATTGTATTTGTAAATCTGTGTGTGTATGTATGTAATGTAGACAGATGTTAAGAAGGTGTTCCCCCAAATATTAATAATGATGAGCTCTGGGTGTTGGAATTTGGGAAAAGTTTCACTTTTTTCTGTATTTCCTGTATGTGTGTGTGTTCTGTATGGTTTGGTTACTTGTTAAAGGAAAAAGAACGTTTGTCCATATATTTATTTTTATATCTTAGAGATTTCAAAACATCCTCTCATTTAAGAGAAGGAAAGCTTAATTATTGTTTAATAGTTTTGGGATTTTATAACCTATACTTTATCATTATTAGTGTTTTATAGGATATATCAAAATTATTGCAGGAACTGTTGTTAAGACATTAATTGATTCCACTAGACATTTTAAACTTACTCAATTGGACATGTTTTTAAAAAGATATAGAGTTGATTTGGCCTAACTTAAATAGAGTTCTGCTTAGAATAGATTGCTGAGGGGTGTATTAAATAATTTATTGTGGTATTCCTGATATTTTATGATTAGTAAAATAAATTGGCTTTAAATGCAATAATTATTATTTTCATTGGATTAAGTTATTTTCATTACTCTTTATTTCAAATGAAGTAGCATAAAAAATTTGAGTGAATGCCATTGATTAGAAAATGGCTTTCAATTTGTGATTCTAAGACTCAAGGTTCAATGAAAACAGCAGTAAGGACTAAGAACTATCTTTAGCATTTCAAAAAGCCTGACGAAAATTTTACGTTGATCACAGTGAAGCTGCACCAGCTAACTGGAAGGCTAAGTGTATTGGCTTTGGCAGGAATTTTATTGCCTTACGGTGGTAAAATTGATTATCTCTCTATGTAGTAGTTGTTTAATGTTGTTGAGCAACACGCTGATCAAAATATTTGATTTGTCATGTTAATGTTGAGTGATTTAAAGAAAAGGAAGGCAGTTTGGAAGACAAGTGGATTTCAGAACCTGGGTGCAAATGTAATATAAATGATAACTGGTAGTGGTAAATTTGGGAGCTACTAATATTAGTAATAGAAATTTGTTTGCTTTGAATAATTACCACTTGCCTCTTGACTAAATCTGTATTAATTTTTTTTGGCAGGGTATTTTAAGCCTGGAATATTGTGTGGGTATTATTGGTGGCAAACCTAAACAGTCATATTACTTTGCTGGATTTCAAGGTTAGTGATTTAGTAAAATATATTTCTTCATTGTTTTCTTTTAAAAGTCAGAAAGTTAATATGAGATCATCTGGAAACAGGATGATTAACAGAGCAAAACGAGTACCTTATACATTCATCAGTCCTACTATAGCCACTCATTTGTCATTTGGTCCACAACATAATTAGATTCTGTAAAATATATGTTTAATTTCTGTTACTGCATAAACAAGGCATAATTTATTGGTTGCGCTAAACTTCAGAAAACATCACTGCCACATTCTGGCAGTTGCTGTTTACATATTTACTTTTTACCAGTTTTAGTGGTGCAAGTAGATGATAAAATGACAAGCAATATGTTCTTCCTGTCAAGATAAAGAAGTGCAATACATTTTTCATATGCAAACTGTAGAATATAATTGTGTGTTTGTGAAAGCAATTTTATCACCAAAAATTAAATGACAGTCTCATCACTTTATAAAAATTCTGCTTATACAAGCATATTTGATTATGCAAAAGTTAATCTATCCTGTGCAAACCTATGTTTCAGTCAATGAATATCAGTCTGGCAAGCTGTTACTCCCAGATTTTTTTCAGCTGTTCTACATAGAAATTGGATTGTAAGCAGTGTAATAATAAGGTGTTTTTTGAATTACTTGTCTTCTGTTTTGTCCTTGTAGATGACAGTTTGATTTACATGGATCCTCATTACTGCCAATCTTTTGTAGATGTCAGCATAAAGGATTTCCCTCTTGAGGTACTGTGGATAAAAAGCTGATACTGTTTTCTTACCATATGAAGTAAACTAATTATTTAGAGATGTGCTAGGTAGCTATGCTTTTACGGTATTATAACTACTGGTTAATAATCAATATTTTACTGATCTATAGAACCATAATTAACACAGTGGTCAAAGGTTAAGTACTTTGTTGCTGAATTTTAATTTATGATATACTTTCTTCTTCATTTATCTTTGTCTCTAACTTGTTAGAAACCCTGGCCATACTAAAATAAATGATCAAGTCTCCAAGTAATTTTGTATAGAGACAGCTAAACAGTACTGAAGAATTTAAAATGTAAGGCCTGTTTAAAAAAAAAAAAAAAGAAAAATAGAAAGGGATAGACGGGTTAGAGTAACAAAGCGACTTAATGCGGTTATCTGCTAAATTATTTTGCTTTGAGTACAGTAATTAAATCTTAGCCTTTAGTTAGGAAGTTTTCAAGAGCTTAGTTGGGTTTCTAATTTTTTTTGAGCTTTTATTTCTTAACCTCTTCTTTTCCTTTATACAGGTCATTTTGTGATCCAGTATTTTAATTCAGAAAAATTTGAGAATACATAAATGAAACATGTAATTATTACATGGTTTTGATTGTTTTCCCAGTTGGTGCTTTTACAGACTAAAGTAATTTTACAGAATAAAATAACTTAAATCACTTGAGTGTCATGGATCACTAATTTTCAAGGACTTGATGAGTTGCAAATATAGCTGAATACTTTGTTTTAGTAATTGCTTGCTAGCTAATATTAACACCTAATAGTATTTAAGAGGTAGAATATGAAAATAGATAAACCACAAGGTTAAAATCTGGTTCAGAAAGATATATTATAAAACATTTTGGCATCCTTTGTAAACTATTACCTCAATTAAAGTATAAGCATCTGGAGGCCAGAGGTCAGGTCTATTTTGTTCTTTCATAGTATCTTGCACCTTAATAAATATTTGCTAGTTGACTGATTGGTACTGGGGAAGGCACTACAGAATAATTGTGCCATGTGAACTACATCGTAATTCTCTTTCTGCCTTGTGGTCTTGTAGCACTGATTCTTGTGTCCAAGTTACATTTCCAGTAGATCAGTGCCAAATTGACTCCTTATAAACAGTAGGTACTTGAGATTTAGATGGAAAATTGTTCTTAGTATTTTAGTATTACCTAAATAAGCAAATTAAAAGATTATTGGTCTGATTATTTTGGCCAGTAGAGAGAAATTATCCATCTGATATTTTGAGAGACTGCAAAGATACCAAGTGAATGAATATCCTGGCTATGTGTATACAATCAAAATTAGAAAGGCTTCAACTCATTATTGGGAGACTGTTGCAACACTCCAAGAGGGAGTTATTAATAATAAAGGTTTGAAGTAGGCTGGTGATAGTGAAAATGGAAAGGAATAATTGATTTTAAGATTTTACTGTGTAAGGTAAAATTTGTTAAAATTGACTTCTTAAATGCACAGAAACATTTCTTATATAGTGGGACACTTATAGAATGGGTTTATAGATGTTATATTTTTAAGATCCTGGTAGAATATCTTAATCTGTGTGGAAAATTCCTGTTAAAAATTTTTATTTTTCTGCAGTGAAGGGATTTATTTTAGTTATAGCATCACTTGTTTTCCTATGAAAGTATAATATAAAAATTATATCAAGTTGTAGAGGAATAAAATTTCACTTTTTGCTTTTTATCATCTTTTAAGTTTATAATACACCAATTGAAGGTGTTTTAACTACCCTGTATTACTAACCATCCTTGCTTTGCTATACTGCTTGTATATTTATAGCTAGTGAAATTATGTAGTTGATTAATGTAAAAAATTATATGCATATTCTAAAACCACCCTTATACTTCAATTATTAAAATCATTTTTATAGGGAACTTTTTGGGTCAGTATTTTTTTGGTTAATAGATGGAGAAATTGAAACCTTAAATCATCCACTGATTCCACATAAATAATTGGTGGTAGTCCTCTGATATTTTGAGTGCCCTAAATCTAATAGATTGTGAAATTTTAAGGAAGTGGGATGATATGAGAATATTTGAGATTAAAGAAGAGATTTAAACAGATTGCATTTTTTGTTGTTCTTACAGTGTTGAATTTCTACATTTCTAGAATTGAACTCTTAACATTTTGAAACCAAATCAGAGTAACTCATTTCTTTCTTTTTTAATGAGCTCTTTCTAGGTGCAAGGGACTTTCCTAAGCCCTTGAGTCCTCTGTTGAACTCTTTTCTTCTCTGTGATTCCAAGTGTTTTGATTATATACATTTCTATTAATGTTTAATTCTTGTGACATTTTCTTCTGAAATAAATTAGTATATCCTATTGAATTTCTATACTAACTTTTAAGAGACTCTTCCTCATTTTTAGCTATCTTCAGTGAGTTTTTAACACATTGTGAAGTGAACATCAGCAGTTATATTTGGATCCTAAGTCTAGTAGTGAAGATATGCCAGGGATATCTTTGGTTAGGACTGAGGAATGGAGCACATGGTTCAGTGTGAGGGCACATTATAATGTAGAAACTCACACTGTAATTTTCAAACAGAAAATGAGGTTCAGAGGAGCAGCATGAACAACCTTAAACAAAAGTCATCAAAGAACAACTTGAAATTAGAAGGGAGTGAGAAGAGACCTCAAATGGGCTTTGGCAGTGAGGGTATGTAAGAAAAGCTTTATTAATAGACATGTCAGTTTGTTCTGATTGCTGGGTCCCCAATTCCAAATGTCAAATTTTAGGAGGTTCATACAGTGGTAACTGTTTTAATCTACCTTAGGAAATTCAGAAATATTGGCAGTAAAACTATTAGAATTACGTGATGTGGGCATCTAGATTGGATGAGTGAATTCTTCAGTGAAAGATAATACCCTTTATGAATTACACATGTGAACTGCAATTAGTAGTAGGTTTTTTTTATGTTGTCTTTTGGGTGGAGGATAGGGTCTTGCTCTGTTACCACTCCAGTTGGAGCGTAGTGTGTAATCTCAGCCCACTGTAGCCTTGACCTCCTGGGCTTTAGCGATCTCTCCACCTTAGCCACTCAAGTAGTTGGGATCACAGGTGGGTGCCACCATACCCGGTTAATTATCAGTAGGTACTTTTTACTAAGGGTATTTTCTAATTAACTGTCTTAGGAAGCTTCATCTGAATCACCAAAATAGCATAGCTGTACCTATAAGCATATGTTTCAGTATGGTTTTGGTATGTTTAGGTAATTAGACTTCACTATTCTAAACAATAAGCCTAGAATAGTGCCTGTCATTTTGTAGGTGCCTAATAACTATTAGGGCAATTGGTAAACAATGTATCAAAAAATGAAATAAATGGGAATTGATTCTCTCTGGCCAGTATTTCCAGAAACACTGTTACAGAAGTGTATCTAGTGAATACTCCTTAAAGTGCGTTTGTCAAGTAGATGCTACTCCTCTTACCAATCATTAGAATTTTAAAAATTAAAAAAAATCTTAAGTGCATAGCTCAAAAATTATCACGAAGTGAACATAGCCCTGAATTAGGAAAATATTTGAAAGTTTAACTTGTTCTGCAATAGACAACGATTGTGAATTGTAAATTCATGTTGGTTGGCCTTTGAATCTTCTTGGATGAACAAAATGATATGAATGGCCAGGCATGATGGCTCCCGCCTGTAATCCCTCCACTTTGGGAGGCCAAGGCAGGTGGATCACCTGAGGTCAGGAGTTTGAGACCAGCCTGGCCAACATGGTGAAACCCCGTCTCTACTAAAAATACAAAAAAATTAGCTGGGCGTGGTGGTGCGCACCTGTAATCCCAGCTACTCGAGAGGCTGAGGCAGAGGAATTGCTTGAACCTGGGAGGCAGAGGTTGCAGTGAGCAGAGATCGCACCACTGCACTCCAGCCTGGGCGACAAGAGTGAAACTTCATCTCAAAAAAAAAAAAAAAAGTTTAAATGATATAAAATGCCTCTCTGTTGTATGAGTCCTAGTGCTCATGCCGCAATACCCAATATCAGTTTAAGTGATCAGAGATTTATATCTGTGTTTTTGTGAATATTTTAAAAGTTCTTTGTAGATATTAAAACAACCATGAATAACAATTTAGTGTTTGTTATTATCTATGATGGTTGTAGTCAGTACAGTGAGATAGTAATAAGACTATTCTGGTTTAGTATTATTGGTTCTTACATGAAAAGCCTTTTAAAATTAAAAAATTTTTATTTTCTAGAGATGGAGTTTTGTTCTGTCACCCAGGCTGGAGTGCAGTGGCACCACCATAGCTCACTGGCACCTCAAACTCCTGGGCTTACGCAATTCTCCCACCTAAGCCTCCTAAGTAGCTGGGACTATAGGTGAATGCCACCACACCTGGCTATTTAAAATTTTTTTTTAGAGGTGGGGTCTTGCCATGATGCACAAGCTGGTTTCAAACCTCAGCCCTCAAGCAATCCTCCCACCTCAGCCTTCTGAATTTCTGGGCACAGGCATGAGCCTGACTCAAGTTCTTACATGAAAACTTTTACCAGTGCTTTAGTATAATATAGAATACCCTTTGTAGATGAGTTCAAAAATATATTATTAGACCATGTACAAGCTTTTGGCCCTCCTTCTTATCCCCAACTGGTAAAAAAGTTAAGAAACATTCCTTGTGATTGTCTTTCGAATGAGCTGGGCAAATGGTTATTTGTAGATACCATGTATGTAGAATAATTTCTTATAAATATGACTTAGAACTGTGCCATATACCCTAATATACTCATATTCCTGTAAATTGTTAACTAACCAGTTTGTTTAGCTTTTCTGTGCTTTTCTAGTTCTGTTTTAAATATTTCTTTGCTAATGTAACAGGTAGATCAATGTTAGAAAAAGTCCAACTAAGATTATACTTGTATTGACTAGTGCCATGGAGGTTCCAGTTTAGCTAGGTTGAATCTCAGTATATAAAGTAAGTTAGCTAAGCATTTTGCAGAAGTCATAGTTTTGAAAACTCATATTTTGCCCTATATTGAGTGACATATTGTTGGATTTGAATCTAATATGCAGTTGAACTTTTCATTGGAAAAAAAAGCAGCTTGAATGTATATATTTTGCATATCTTTTGGTGATGATACGGGATACAAATTGGGTCACTAGGATGTACAGGGAGAGAAAGAGTGATTTTAATTGATTTCACCATGAACATAACAAATATGACAACTTATTTTTTCCACACTTTAATAGATAGCATGAAGTTAAAAATCCCTTAGTTTTAGGCATTGAATGTAGGGAAACTATAATTTTATGAGCTCAAATCCAGCTCCCCTCCCCTCCCCTCCCATTAATGGAGTTGGAGTCTTGCCCTCTTGCCCAGGCTGAAGTGTAGTGGCACGATCATATCTTACTGCAGCTTCAAAACTTCTGGGCTCAAGCAGTCCTCCTGCCTCAGGCTCCTGAATAGCTGGGATTGTACATGGGAGCCACAGCACCCAGCTCCTAGATTATTTCTTAATTGAGCTTGTTCTTTAATTCAAAAATTTCCCACACTTATCTCCCATCTGCCCAGTTCTCTCCCTTTACCACAGACTTGTTAATTTTTGTATATCCTTAGTTTATTTATATAAATATGAATATACAGTCTTATGTTCTTTTTAACACAAACTTATTTTTTCTACATACAGAAAAAGACTTGGTCACTTCAGTGATTTTTAAGGACAGGCTAAGCATTTAAGCATTAAAAAAATTTTTAAACATAGTACTAAGGTGTGATTGTGAGGAACAAAAAGATTGCAGTGATTACTTTTATATTCTGCCCTTTTTCTACTTTTGTATTCCCTAAAGATGCCAAACTCTACTAACAGCCAAATCCATTAGCAAGACAGTAGAGAAACTAGGGCAGCCTCCCCAGCCCATTTATATCTGTGGCACTGTGTCTATTGGAGAAAAGTGAACTAAAGAGACAAAAGGACTGATGAGAAAGAGGGCAGGGACCATAATGGAATGGTTTCACCTGTTCCAGCCTGTTCCCTGAGAAGAAACAAGAATTAAAGCACACTCAAAGAGAAAGTTGAAGAATACGCAGTTATGTACTAATTGTGTGAATTGCTAAAACCCTCAAGTTGACCTCTTTTTATGTCAATATAGAACATTTACCTGAGTCTGTGTATTTGTTTAAAAAGTCTCGATATCCTTGTTAAAAGGTTTATAAACATTAACCCAAAATCTCCAACAAAACAGACTTAACTGCATTTTAATAGAAATGGCTAACTTGATTCTAAGCCTCATACTTTTTTCATGTCTTTTTCATGTTTTCAAGTGTTAGAAATGCATACCACTTTTGACACACTTCCTTTCTTTTGCAGAATGGCACTAATATCACAAAAGGTTGAAATTTGGTGAATTAAATATATAAAAATGTTGGCTCTTATATTTTACAGTTTTGCAGAGTGGAGAGGACCATCTGCGTAGGATGAACTAAAACACCATTTGAAAATCATGTTTATAGTGATGGGAAAAAGCTAGATAGAAAATTTTAAATAATAGTTTTATATATACTTGTCTATCAAAGATAAATTAATCCTAAAGAACTTTAAAAATTACAGACATTCCACTGCCCTTCTCCCAAAAAGATGTCTTTTCGAAAAATGGATCCCAGCTGTACAATAGGATTTTACTGTCGAAATGTTCAGGACTTCAAACGAGCTTCTGAAGAAATCACCAAGGTATCTTTATTTAAAATATTATATTTGTAAATGACCTAATTTTATTAGAAACAGACTGTCAGAAAGCAAAAACCTGTAAATTATAATTTTTTATAAAATTTCCTCTTGAATGTTAATATTATTAGGAGTATTGTGAATTGAAAAATAAAGCCATTTGAGGAATCTTAGCGTTTGAGGCAAATGAAATCTAGTGACAAGTTGAAAGTATTGATTGGTCCACTAGGTGGCACTGTTGAAATAAAAATCCTGTTGCAAACGCTAGACCGGTCCAAGCAATTAGGTTATATTCTATTTGAAGAAGATTTTAAAAGGGCAATCCCTTAGGGGTAGGAAAAAAATTAATGAAGTATTTGATCAAGCCAAATTGTGCATTATTTCTTGTTAGTCCAAGTGCTTCTTTGATTTTTTTAAAAAGAGAAATGGTATTTTTGGATTTCTCAGAACTGCTTTATCAAATGAGCTGTGTTTTTACCTTTCAGTAAGCTTGTCTAATCTGATCTATTCTACTTATAGGATCCTTGAAAGAGGTTTATTTAACTTCTTCTCATTACATTTATACTTCTACATTTTTTTGGTCCTTGAGTACTGCTAAAACATTTATGGAACCTTAATATCTGTCTCTATGTAGTATTTTAGAAAATAAAAAAAGACTGCTTTTTAAAGAAATACACATAGTTTGATAGCTCTTTATTTGTACCAGTAGTTAGGCTATCATTTTATGGTATGTAAGACCAATACTCGTCATTTTTGGGAATTTTTTTTTTTTTTTTTGAGACTAGGTTTCACTCTTGTTGCCCAGGCTGGAGTGCAATGGCGCGATCTCGGCTCACTGCAACCCCTGCCTCCCAGATTCAAGCAATTATCTTGCCTCAGCCTCCTGAGTAGCTGGGATTACAAGCATGTGCCACCATGCCTGGCTAATTTTGTAATTTTAGTAGAGACGGGGTTTCTCCATGTTGGTCAGGCTGGTCTCGAACTCCTGACCTCAGAATTCTTCACTGGAACTTATATATAATAGTAACTTATTACTGCTTTATTTCCAGTTAATTTTATTCAGGAAAGTGGACATAGTAAGTTGAAATTTTATTTTTACAATGTAAAAATGGAATGATAAAAAATAAAACGTTTCATATAAGCTAGATTTAGTTTACTTGACCTGCCATATGAAAGAGGAAATTTAGCAGGAATGTGGCAGGAAAATGAATGAGGAAAGGAACAAATGAGATATGTGGGAACCATTCCATATTCTTCATTTCTCACAGTTGTTCTCTTTTCATTCTCCTTTTTCAACATGGAAGGCCAGGTGAACATAACAAAATATATATTTTTCATTTTTCCTCCTATTACTGGAAATTAGTATATGCATTTGTATATTTTAGTTTGACAGTTCTTTGTCTCTACAAAGTATCATGTATATGCTAAAGTATACAAATACAGGTGATATTGTGATATTTATTGATGTTGATGAACATTTTCCATTAAAAAGTCCCATTTCCCTGTTTCCATTCATGTATTTTCTATCTGGATGAAAATAAATATGTTTAAAACAGTAAAGCAGTTTACTCCTGGAATAGAAACAAACCAGATTATTATTACCAAATTAAAAAAAAAAGCAAAATTAAAAAATGTGTGCTGATATTTTCTAATTAAAGACACTTATGGCTTTTACATTGGAAAAATACTTAGAAATTATTATTCTTGAGCATCAGAATAATATGCATTAAGGCAAAGAGAAATTATGTTGAAATGTCTTTTGGAAGTACTGAGAATTTTGTAAGAATCAATTAACTTTGCTTTAATAATAGTGTTCTTCTTAAGTCAATAGCTTTTTGTAGCAGTATCAAAAACTCACCATGTCAGTTAATGACACAGTTTCTTTTGCCTGGAAGGTTATAAGTTAAGCACTTGCCTTTTTTTCTTAAAAACTGAATTTGGCAGTTTTAGTTCAATCATTGTTTTTAACCCTTAAAAATTAAAATAACTTAAAATTATTTGTTTCTGTATAAGATGTATCTTTTCAGTTTTCTCATTTTGAAAATGAAGCTGGTAGTCTAGAGTCTCATGTTTAATTCGTAATACCCTATGAACGAATAACTCCTTATGCTATATGATTTTAAAATATTAATAAAAATTGTTAAACCAATTCAGTGTTTAGCAGAATTCAGTCTAGCAAGTATCTGCATAACTATCATATACAGAGCACAAAATGACCAAGATACAATCTCTGCTTTTGAACAAGGTGTAAAACTTCCATCCTCAAGTAACGTTTATACTTCAGTAGGGGAAATAAGACAAGTAGACATATATTACATTGAATATGGTAAGCATCCATATGGAAATAGAAATAAATTGATAGAGGAAAGAAGAGGGTTGAAATGAGAGAGATGTCACATCTAAGTCAAAGTACTTTATTGTGATGGTCATATTTAAGAAGGGCTTTAAAGTATAGGCTTAATTTCTACTGGCTTAGGGAAAGAGAAGGTTACTTCAAGCTGAGGAAATACCAAAAGGAAAAGTATAGAAGGAAAGTGGAGAGTTTGTCTAGAGAATGGCAAGTAGTCCAACTTGGTAGGTGCCAAGGCTTCATATTAGGCAGGGTTTCTGCTTCTACTGCCTGAATCAAAATCCCTAAAGGTGTGGCCTGGGAGTCTCCATTTCTGGCAAGCCTCCCACACAGTCTTGTGTGCCAAATTTGAGAACCACTTGCATAAGACAGGGCAACCCAAGATGTGACACTTGATGTTGTTTTTAGGTGGCACTAGGACAAACATTTTAATACTTAACATTAACTGGCATATTAAATGTGTGACTTATTGATTTGTACAAGGCTATTTAGGTTAAAAATGATGAAAAGAAAAATATTCATTAATCATGATAGTGAAAGGGGTATATAAGTCTCTGAGTTTTGGGAAACACTGTTATAGGAAATACTGAAGGAAGAGTCTAGAAAAGTAGATTAGAATAATACTATGGAGAGTCTTGAATTAAAGCTGAAGAAGTTGTACTTTAGTAATATGTTGATTTTGTTAAATTAATTTTAAAATTTCAGGCATACAGAAATATAGAGAATAATATAGTAAATACCCATGTGTTACCACTGAGCTTAAGAAAGTTATATATATAATTAATAAGTGTGTTATCTTCCACCAATCTTATTCCTTTTCTTCCTTCTCAGTGGTAATCACTATCCTGAATTAGTGTATCATACCCATACTTTATATATCCATAAACAACACATATTATCTTACATTTATTAAATTTTTTGTTAATGATATTTTTATATAAAGAGATATATATTCATCTACAACATTTTTATTTAACAGTGAGTTAGAGATTATCTATGTAACCGTACATGTTGATCTAGCTTATTCATTTAAACAGCTGAATAGTGGTCCATTCTGTAATACACTCTTTTTATTTAAACTTTCTTTCTTTGATGGTCATCTGGCTTGTTTCTGAGAACTTAAAACTCCTTGTTATATTTGTTTAATTACAAATAATGTTTTAAATAATATTCTTGTACATATCTCTTTGTGCATATATAATACTTTAAGTAGGGTTACATTAGATATACTAGATACATTACAGTGGAATTTCTGGGTCATAAGATAAGCATATTTTTAGGTTTGCTGTATGTTGTTAAATACTCTCCAGAGTGATCATGCCAACCAGTATATAAGAATTTCTTAACATCCTTATCAACACTTGATATTGTCAAACTTTAAAATTTTAACCAATCTCGTGGATATGAATAGTACCTCTTTGTAGTTTTAATTTATATTTCCCTGATTGATACTAAGGTTGAATATTTAATCAAAGTTTATTGGCCCATTTGTTTCCTCTTTTGTGAATTTCCCATTCATTCTTTTTCTCTATTTTTTTATAGGGCTATTTGATATGAAGGAAATCTTTACAATTCTAGATACTACTGCTTTGTTGGCTTTATACGTTACAAATATATTCTTCTAGGCCGCTATTTTTACTTGTTAATTGTGTCTTTAATTTTAATATAGTCAAATTAATAATACTTTTATGGTTTTTGAATTTTGTATCAAAGAAATCTTTAATAAGCAAAAGTCATAAACATATTCTCCTATACTCCTTCCAGAAGTTTTATGTTTCACATTTAGAACTTGTATATGTTTTATTTATTTTTATTTATTTATTTTTTTGAGATGGAGTCTTGCTCAGTCACCCAGTCTGGAGTGCAGGGGCGCGATTTTGGCTCACTTCAACCTCCACCTCCCGGGTTCAAGCAATTCTCCTGCCTCAGCCTCCCTAGAAGCTGGGATTACAGGTGTGCACCACCACGCCTGGCTAATTTTTGTATTTTTAGTAGACACAGGGTTTCACCATGTTGACCAAGCTGGTCTTGAATTCCTGACCTCAGGTGATCCTCCTGTGTCAGCCTCCCAAAGGTAGAATCAGTAAGACAGCCACTTAGAAAGTGGTGAGGGAAAGAGAGAGCTCACAGACAAGTCTGTTTTACATCTAGGTGACCAGGGGAACAAATTAATAGTTCATTAATATGGTGATTCATTTAGTCAGCAAATATGTGAGTGTTTTCATCCCTATGACTCCACCAGAATTCCTCTTCAAGGTCACTAATGACCCTACGTTGCCAAGTCCATTGGTCGAATCTCAGAGTTCATTCTACTTGTCATAAGAGAAGCATTTGATGTAGGTGAACATCCACTTCACCCTCCTACACCTTCTTCACATTGGCTTCCAGGACACCAAACTCTTTTGGTTTTTCTCATTCTTTACTGGTTGCTCCTTCTTTAGTCTTCTTTGCCTGCTTTCTTCCCCAGCCTCTTAATGTTGGAATAGCTTAGGGCTTATCCTTTAGTTCTGATATCTTCTTTATCTTGATGATCTCATGCAGTCATATAGCTTTAAATATCAGTTATAGTCCAAGATCGTATCTTTAGCCCAAAATTGTTTTCCAAATTTTATATTATAATGTCCAGTTGCTATTCAGTGTCCCTTATACATCTGGCGTACGTTTCCAAAATCAAATTCCTGATCTTCCTTCTGAAGCCTGTTTTGCTCACAGTTTTCCTTGTCTCATTTGATGGCAAATTTATCCACTGTCTGCTCAGGCCAAAGCCTTGGATTATTCTTACCTCCCTTCTCTCTCTCACATCTCATAACAACTTATATATTCAAAGTATATCTAGAATCAGACCACTTTTCACCACCTTCCCTACTGCTCTTGCAACACTGGTCTGAGACACTATTGTTACTTCAGTGATCTCTTATGTAGTTTCCAAGCCTCACTTCCCTGCCTCTAGCTGGTTCTCAATTCAGCAGCCCTGGTAATTCTTTCAAAACATAAGTCATACTGGGCAGGGCACAGTGGCTCACACCTGTAACCCCAGCACTTTGGGAGGTCGAGGTGGCCAGATCACCTGAGGTCAGGAGTTCAAAACCAGTCTGGCCAACATGGTGAAACTCCGTCTCTACTAAAAATACAAAAATTAGCCAGGCATGGTGGTGTGTGCCTGTAGTCCCAGCTACTCAGGAGGCTGAGGCACGAAAATCACTTGAACCCGGGAGGTGGAGGGTGCAGTGAGCCAAGATTGTGCCATTGCACTCCAGCCTGGGCGAGAGAACGAGACTTTGTCTCAAACAAAACAGAACAAAAAAGCATAAGTCTTACTGAAGCATTGAGAATAAATAAAAAACAGAAACCATAAGTCGAAGCACTGACATATCCTAAAGCATCTGGAACGGTGCTCAGCTCATAGTAAGTGTTCATTTTGTTGAATGTCTGTCTGGAGCTGGATATGCAGTGGTAAACAAGATAGTTGTGACTCCTGGCTTCATGAACTTATAGTCCAGTGGACATTAAACACACAAGTGTATAACAAAAATTAAAAGTTTCATCGAGAAGAAAATACAGTGTCATGAGAAAGAAAAATAGAAGAGACATAATTTAATTTCGGGAGTGCAAAAAACGTTTAATAGTATATATTCACTGCATTTTTTGTAAGGATATTAACATGCCCATGAAACCTGCCCTATTTAAATCTACCACACAATGAGTAAAAAATCACCAGGAGAAGAGTGAGTGTCTTTCTAATCATAATGGACCTAATAGAGTTTCATGTCTTGCTTTAAGACTCTTGGAAGCCATGAATTAGGAGTAGGTAAAGTGAACAGTAGAGTTTGGCGTGTTTGGGAGAGCAGAATTTCAAGTCAGTTTAGTAGTATCTTTTATTTCGTTGAAATGGTCAACTGTGGAAATCCCTGTGGACAGGGAGGCAAATGGTCCGGGAGAGTTGAGAGTGGAAAACTTGAAGGTCAGATGAGTATGATGAAGTCAGGTTTACTGGAAGTGCCTCCAAAACAACCACTCTTCCGTTCTCTGCCTTCTTCAGACTTCAGCATCTCTATGGAATAGTTCTATTTAACACTGTGTCTAATCTTCTATTAATAATCTTCCTCCCTACCTCCCCTCATGTCTGAGTAGTTAATTATGTTGTTGAAATCTTTTATGTTCTTTTTTCTTTCCCGTATGGTTTTTAAATTACAGAAAGACATGTTATAAAAGCCTCCTATTGTGATGGTAGGGTTGTCTGTTTCTCCTTTAAGTTCTTTTTTGTTTGTTTGTTTTATACATTTTGAGGCTTTGCTATTAGTTACATACAAACTTAGGACTGTTAGGTCTTCCTATTGAATTACAACTTTAAATGTTCCTCTATCTCTTAGTAATATTTCTTACCTTAAATTCTGTTTTTGTACTTTGTGTCATCAAAAACTTGAGTCCTGTAGGATTTTAAATTCCACAAGGCATTGTGTTTTAAAGAGTCAGTATTACCCTTTCTGATGCCCTTCATTTTTTTCCTGTTTTACTCTGCTTCCTTTTGGGATCATTTTGGTTGTCTCTGAAGAACTTTCTTTATTATTTCTTTTAATGCTGTTACCTGGTGATAAATTCTCTCAGCTTTTGTTTGAACACATCTTTTTTATGCCTTCATTTAAAAATGGAAACAATAGCAAATTTATAGAAAAGTTGTAAATATAATGCAAATAATTTTTTTTCCTGAACCATTTGAGAATAAGTTGCTAGCATGATGCCCCATTAGCCTTGAATAGTTGAGTGTGCACTTCTTGCTTAGAAATAAAGACATTCTCCTACATAACCACAATATAACTATCAGAATCAGGAAAGTGGCATTGTACATTATCACCATTTAATCCCCAAGAAACTATTCAGGTTTCACCAGTTGTCCCAGTAATGCTCCAGGTGGCAAAAAGATTGAGTTCACAATAATACCTTACATTTATATGTCTTAAATCTTCTTTAATCTAGAACAGTTAATCATCTTTTTTGATTTTCACATTATATTTTTGAAGATAACAGGATACATGTTTCTTAGTTTTTTTACAGGACACTTTTGAAAATTTTGTAGATTGTCCTCTCAATTTGGGTTTGTCTGTACAGTTTCATCATTAATTTCAGGTTATACATCTTTGCCAGATATATCACCAAAGTGATGCTATGTTTTTCTGATTGTTTCTTGGTGAATGGCATGCGATTTTTATTTTTATTGTTTCTTTATTGGTGATGCTAACTTTGACCCCTTGGTTAAAGTGATGTCTGCCGCCTGCCAGGTTCCAGTCTGTCTTCAACATACCCAGTTGACCAGAATGACTTCTTCCACCCGGGCATGCATACCTGCTTTGCCCAGCCCCATCTAGTGGCTTTAAAAATGAATTGTTTGGGAGGGGAAGGGAAGACGAAGAGCTTGCCTTTGTTGTTGAAGGATATTTTTACAGGATATAGAATTCCATGTTAACAGTTGTTTTCTTTCAGTATCTTAAAGATATTTATTCCATTATCTCTGGCTTCTTTAATTTCTTAATAGACTTTGCCTCTCTAAGATTTTTATTTCTCAAGACTTAAATTGTTTTAATTGCTCTCAGATGCTTTCCAACAGTTTTTTTATCTATCATACTTTATCTTTTTTTTTTTGGAGACAGAGTCTCACTCTATCCCCAAGGCTGGAGTGCAGTAGTACGATCTTGGCTCACTGCAACCTCTGCCTCCCGGATTCTAGTGATTCTCATGCCTCAGCCTCCTGAGTAGCTAGGATTACCGGTGCCTGCCACCACGCCCAGCTAAGTTTTGTGTTTTTAGTAGAGCTGGTGTTTCACCATGTTGGCTAGGCTGGTCTCAAACTCCTGACCTCAGGTGATCACCCACCTCAGCCTCCCAAAGTGCTAGGATTACAGGCGTGAGCCACTACACCTGGCTGTACTTTATCCATTTCTTGTGGTGGTTCTTGGTGGTAGGGTTGATTTGATACAAGCTACGCCATTATGATGCTCCTAATTAGTATATTTATAAAATACTTGTTTTAGTTATTTCTTTTAAGGTGTAAGGTGTGACTATAAACTAAAAATATTTTAAAAATTTTTAACACAGAAGTTTTGTTTCTATTTCATTAGAATTTTATGAGTACTATTTAGAGAGAGACATGAGATTAAAGTTTTATCTTCTGTTCATCCAAAGAAATTATGGTACTGAAGTAAATTATAAAATAAAGTAAAATAACAAATGAAAATAATTTGGTTACTAAATAAATGACAACTCCATTTTCCTGGGTGCTCAGCCTAAAAACTGGATCCCTTGCTCTGTCTCACAAACCCCATGTCGTATGCATCAGCAAATCCCATCATCTCTTCTTTAAAATATACTTAGAATTTGATAATTTCTCACCACTCTCATTATTACCCTGGCCCATCCTCACATCTTCCTTGAGATTATTGCGGTAGCTCCCTAACTGATCTCCCTTGCTCTGTCTACAGTCTAGAATCAACATAGCCGCCAGAGTGATTTTGTTTAGAATGTAACTAAGATTGTGTTAATTTTTTAAAGAACCTTACAGTAGCTTTTTAACTCAGAGTAAAAGCCCAAACTCTTACAAACCCACAAGGCTTTATATAAATGGAATCTCTGCTTCTCCCTGCTGCCTCTTTGAACTCATTCCCTACCATTTTCCCTAACTCTCTCAAGTCCAGCCACACTAGTCTCCTTGAAAATGATCAGTGCCCGCCCCTGTTTCACGGGTTTCGTTTGTTTCCTGTGCCTGGCATTCTCTTCCTACAGATATTCTCATGGTTCTCTCCCTTCTTTCAGATCTTTACTCAAGTGTCACATTCTTAGGCCTTCCCTGGGCACCCTTTATACTTCGTAATTGCCTTCCTTCATTGTTTTATTTTTCTCCTTAGCACATATCACTATACACATATACGTATATATTCTGCTGTATCATGTATGTATGTGTGTGTATGTATGTATATATATATATATATATATATATATATATATATATATATATATATACATACACATACACACACATTCTGTTTAGTTATCTATCATCTGTTTATTCCACTGGAATGTCATCTCAACAAGGGAAGGATTTTGTTGATTTTGTTTCTTTTTGTATCCCCAGTGCTTAGCACTGGCTATCACATTGTAGAAGGTCAGTAAATCATATTTGTTGAATGAAGAAATGAATTAAAAAGACTTTGTTATAAAGTTGTCTTATAAGTTAGTAAAGAGGTCAGTGATTGAGTTATAGAAAATCTACAGTGTGTTTTTACCTACTTCTTCTATTTTCCTTAAATTGCTGTGGATTTATCTTAAAACTTGGGATAGTCCTTTTATTCAGTGCACAACTCAAAATATGTTTTGTTCAAAAAATTAGTTTTCATATTTATTAAAGTAGTACATACACTAACTTTAAAAATGGAAATTGCGATAAAAGGCTTATGCTGAAAATCAGGAGTCCCTTGCCATTTTACTTCCCACTCCAAAGAATACCTCCTCAGGTATATTCACTTTTAACTCTTTTAGCTATTTATTTAGAATTTTAACTCTGCATTTCTAAGAACAATAAGTCTTCCCTTAACATCATTGATAGGTTCTTGGAAACTGTAACTTTAAGTGAAATGATATAAAATGAAACTGGTTTTACCATAGGATAATTGATATAAACAAGAGTTAAGTTCCTAAGACATAGTTCTTGTCACAGAAGCATCACCAAACTTACAATAAAGACTTAAATACTTCTACTATTAAACATTGAAATAAATGTGAGCTGTACTTGTATTTAAGAAAGATTGAGATATTTCACAGAGATGACCGAACATTTAAAAAAAATAAATAGCTACAAAGAGAACTAAGGAAATGAAAAAGGAGTGGGAATACTAACTCCAAGAAAAACAAAGCTTAGAAAAAAAGGAATGTAAGATAATTGTTTATGTAAGATAATTGTTTATCTTACAATTGTTGGTGGATCAGTGAGCAACAGCAGTCGTGGTGGTGGGTTAAATCAAGGAATAGTTTGCAAAGCGAAAATTGTAAGAAGCACCTCCTACCACCACACAGTTCCAGAACAATCACAAATCTGGCAGGCTTACTGAGTGCCTTGTTACCGTGTGTTTATTGTCAAGCATTTGTGTGATTGTTGTATACCTTACACATTTTTATTTGGCAATAATTTGTATTCATTCATTCATTCATTCATTCGTTCATTCTCCAGCTGGCCTATTCAGTTCAGGTTGTAGGTGGCCAGAGGCTATTCTGGAGGCTCAGGACGCAAGGTGGGAAGCTACCCGGAGTAAGGTATACTCATACACACACCATTATTCTCCCAGACCGGATCAGTGCAGACACACCAGCTCACCTCATGTGCACATGTTTGGGATGTGAAAGGAAACTGGAGAACTTGGAGTAACCTCCTTACACAGGCATGAGGAGAATATGCAAACTTCACACAGATAGTGGCTCTGGCTGGGAATTGATTTTTTTTCTTCATGAACATTATAATCACACAATGTTGAACAAAATGACATTATTTGGGAACCTGCTGTAATGTGCTTATTCTGCAGTTTCTTGATTAGTCCACTGTAGACATTCTTTGTTATTTTTTAGTTATAGTACTTGAGGATTTAACTCTCTTCCCATACCCTTTCACCTGGTTTCTCTTCTCCTAGCCATACTCCCACTACAGTTATAACATAGATTTTGGTTAGTCACTATTCAGTGTTCACATTATGCCTCCATAATATTGTTTACTAATCACATAATGTGCTATGATTACATTTCTTTTTTCCTATCCTTTGTATTTCTTAGAGTTAGTACTCCTTTCCCCTTTTTTCATTTCCTTAGTTCTGTTTTTACCTATTTTTTTTTTTTCTAAATGTTCAGTTATATCTGTCAACTACCTAGCGGTAAGTTTTTCGTAATTATAAACATAGGAAAAATCTCTTTTTTTCTGGAGATTTGCTCATTTCTGTTTTCTATTCACTCTCACCTTAACTGTTCTCCAGGCCTGGTGCAGAGTGGTCAGTTTGGAACTTCCTGATGCCACTTTCCTGTATTTGATCTCCTATATTCTGAATCTTTTAGTTTATTCCTTTCTCTTGCTGGAGCATATTTTCTAGTGCCTTCCTATGAAAAAGATGCATAGATGGTAAATTTTTTGAATTCCTGCATGTCGACCAGCTTTATCTTTTAATTTATTGATAATTTAATTAGATACAGAATTCTAAAATGAAAATAATTTTCCCCTGAACTTTAGAAGCATTGTTCCACTCCCTTCTAGCATTTAGTGTTGTTGAGAAGTTTGATGTCATTCTGCATTATTTTACGCCAAATGAAATTTTTTTTTTCTCTGAGAGCTTTCAGGTTGGAATCCCAACTCCATCACCTAATTGCTGTGTACCTTTAGGTGCATTGCTGCACTTCTTTGTGCATCAGTTTTCTCATGGAATGAAAATACTAATAGCCACCGTTCTCTGTAACATCATTATGAGGATTAAAGATTTAATAGACTAGTGCTTGGTTTATAGGAGCACTAACGTGTTAGCTATAATTATTACTGTTATTTTTACTTTTGAGACAGGATCTTGCTATGTTGCCCAGGCTGGAGTGCAGTGGTGCAATCATAGCTCACTGCAGCCCCGACCTCGTGGTCTCAAGCAATCCTCCCACCTCAGCCTCCTGACTAGCTGGGACCACAGGTGTGTACCACCACAACAGCTAATTTTTACATTTTTTGTAGAGACAGGGTTTCACTATGTTGCCCTGGCTGGTCGTGAACTCCTGGGCTCATGCAATCCTCCTGCCTCAGCTTCTCAAAGTGCTGGGATTACAGGCATGAGCCACTGTACCCGGCCAGTTACAATTATTTATCCCTAATATTTTGAAGCTTCATTATGTGTCTTGGTTTGCATTCTTTGTCATTGATTGTCCTGCTTTCTTCCATTATGGGAAATGTCTTTGAAATTAAAAATAATCGTTTCCTCTGTTTTCTTTGTTCTTACCTTCTGGAACTCTTATTATACAGTTTGGACCTTCTGAATTGCTCCCTAGTTTTTCTCTTTTTTCCTTTTGTTTCTCATGGTCTTCATATTTTTGTACTGGAAGATTTCCTCTGCTTTACCTTCTACCTATTCTGTTGTTCTTAAATTTCAATTAGGATGCTTACATTTTTAGTTGTTATTGATATTTTTTCTATTCCTTTTTCATAGAATTCCTTTCTTTTTTTGGATGTATTTTCTCTTTTCCCCTAGAAAATTAATTATAGTAATTTTTATAGTAATTTTGTAATTACTATAAAATAGTAATTTTGAAGTTTTCTTCTGTTTCTTTTGTTGTTTATGCTTCCTTCTGGACTCTTTCATGGTTTTGTTTTTTCTTTTCTCTTTTTCTTTCTTTTTTTTTTTTTCAGACAGAGTCTTGCTCTGTCACCCAGGCTGGAGTGCAGTGGCGCGATCTTGGTTCACTGCAAGCTCCGCCTCCCGGTTCATGCCATTCACCTGCCTCAGCCTCCCGAGTAGCTGGGACTACAGGCACTTGCCACCATGCCCGGCTAATTTTTTGTATTTTTAGTAGAGACGGGGTTTCACCGTGTTAGCCAGGATGGTCTCGATCTCCTGACCTTGTGATCCTCCCACCTCGGCCTCCCAAAGTGCTGGGATTACAGGCATGAGCCACCACGTCCAGCTGTTTTTTCTTTTAATCATCTGGTTTTTCTTTATATGCTTTCCCCCAAATGACTAGTGACCTTCTCTCTGTTTATATTTAATAGTAAGGCACTAAAAAGCTGAGTAGAAGCTCTGTGTGTTTGAGCTTGGCTTTTTAGCTGTTAACTTTCATACTAGGATGATCATGTAATGAGCTTGCCTTTTTGTTGGGTGACCCTTACATGTTAGTAAGTGGTGGTCTTTTCTCTGGAGTTGTTTCGTTTTCTCAAAGAAAAGTTTTGCCGTCTCTTAAGAGCCTGTGGAATGAATATATGTTGTCTGCTCTAGCTCCAGGAGCAGGAAGTGAAGGATACTGAGGACCCTACGGTTTCCTATTTTTAGACTGACACTTAATTATTCAGCTTCTGAAGTCATCACTGTGTCTGGTGTACTGGAGTTCATATCATTATCTATTCAGTTTTTCCAAAGAATAAATCTTTATTTTTGTGTATGGGGGATGGCTGGAGAGGGGGGTGAAGAAGGGTATTGGTTGCAAGGAGGGACCTGGGAATTGAGTTCATACAAGTTTTTATCAGTTTCCTTGTTTTTAGTTTTGGGTCTCACCTCTGCTTTCCATGACGTCTTTGGCCGTTCTGTACTGTTGCTCTCCAAGTTCTGCAAGATGAATTTGCTTACTTTTCATGGGTATCCCAACACATCTCCTTCCTAACTCACAAACTTAGGTTGTATTTCCCCTGCTCTGCTGTGCTGTAAATGGCCTGATGTAGATTATTTTTTATTTTATCTCATACCCCCTTTTATTCTTATTTTTTTCATTTGTTCTCAATTTAATGATTATTAAATAATCATTTGGTAATTCAAGGATAAACATTACCTGTTCATTGTTAAACTTATTACCTAGTAGCGCTGGTGTTTGAGGACAGGAAATCACAAATGAAAATGTACTAGGGAATGAATTATTTGATTATGGAATGCATATCAGCACAGGGGAAAAATTTACATGTGGCCAGTTGTCTTCTAGCTGCAAAACACAATTTATGTTATAGCCATTGAATCCCTGAGATCTTAGAAGTTATTCAGTCCAAAGCTAACATTTGTTGAGTCTTCACCTATGGTATATTATCTCATTTAACCAACCAAACCTTCTGAGATACGTACTTTTGTCTCCATTTTACAGATAAGGAATCTTACATTTAGAAAGGTTTAGCAGTGTTGACAAAGGCCACAACTAATAAACGGTGGTACTGCGATTCACCTGAGACAGTAACTCAAGACTGTGTGCTCATAAGCACTATGCTGTATAGTCTCCTATTTATACATCAGTCCATGTTCCAGACAGTTGAGTATCTAATCTTTATTTCAGGTTATAGTGAGCTAATGACTTTTCCTGGAAGTATTTTCAGTTTTCAGATAGACCCTTATTGTTAAAAAATTTCTTCTTTTGGTGAATCGAAATCAGCCTGTATGTAGTCTTATAGAGTAAGAGAATAGGTTTGCTCTGTAGTCTTATAGAATAAGATAATAGGGTTGTTTCCCCTTCTAGGACAGTTACTCCCATTTTCTCCAGTGGTACACAGTTTCCCATGCCCATCACTATTTTGGTTAAGGTCTTTTTGAAATCACTTTAGTGTTTCAGGCTTATGTTCACCTAGAGGTCCTCCTTCTAGTTCTGTGTTTTCCACATGAAATCTGAGTGACTTTTTAAATTTCATAGATCTTTTTTACTTCCAGGATCTAATGATAGAAACTCTGCGTACTTTTGAAATCTTCAGCAGCTTATAGTTTATTTGGGGAGACATGAAATGGAGGTTAAAGATAAATGACTGTACAATTAAATGCCAGAAGACTAATATTATGATAGTTCAATAATAATGATAAAGCCAACACATTAGATGCCAGGCAATCCTCTAAGTACTTTACATATATTAGCTGATTTAATCTGCACAACAACTCTGTGAGATAGATACTATCATTACTGGCATTTTACAGCTAAGGAAAATGAGACAGGTATAGTAATTTGCCCAGGGTTACACAGTTAATAAGTATCAGCCAAGTTTTGAACTGATACTGTCCAACTCCACAGTGCATGTTTGTGATCCTTACATTATACTAGACAAATGTATAGGACTTTGGAGAAGGGAATAATCACTGTAGAGTGAGATAGTTGTCAGTGGAACTTGGACTGGAACTTTACTGATGGAGTTTGGTACAATCAGACAAGAAGTATGAAGGATGACTAGATGATAGAAACATCCTGAGCAGAACCACCAAGGTCAAATGTTGGGGGAAATCTATGGTAGGATGTTTATGAGGTAGTCTGTTTAAGGGAACAGTAAAACCCAAATCATGTGTTAATTTGGCTTACAGGGACCTGAGTGATCTGGCCCTTGTGTACCATCCTTACTGTTTTCCTCTACCTGCAAGCCACGCTGGCTTGCTTTCTGTTCTTTGAACATGCAAAGTTTGCTGGCATCCTAGGACCTTTACACTCTGATTTCCCTGCCTAGAGTGCTCTTCGCCCAGAACTTTTATGTCTGGCTCCTTATTGTCATTCACAGGGGCCCCCAGCCCCTGGACCATGGACTCGTACCAGTCTGTGGCCTGTTAGGAACCAGGCTGCAAGCAGAAGGTGAGCGGCGGGTTAGCGAGCGAAGCTTCCTCTGTGTTTACAGCCATTCCCCATCACTACTCGCATTACCACCTGAGCTCTGCCTCCTGTCAGATCAGCGGTGGCATTAGAGTCTCATAAGAGTGTGAACCCTATTGTGAACTGCATATGCAAGGGATCTAGGTTGCATGCTCCTTATGAGAATCTAAGGCTTGATGATCTGTCACTGTCTCCCATCATCCCCAGATGGGACAGTCTAGTTGCAGGAAAACAAGCTCAGGGCTCCCATTGATTCTACATTATAGTGAGTTGTGTAATTATTTCATTATATATATTATATATTGCAATGTAATAATATAAATAAAGTACACAATAAATGTAATGCACTTCAATCATCCTGAATCCATCCCCACCCCCCCAGTCCGTGGAGAAATTGTCTTCCATGAAATCAGTCCCTTGTTCCTGAAAGGTTGGGGACTGCTGGTTATTCAGGTTGCAGCTTGGTCTTTTCTGACAACACATCTTAAAGAAACCTTCCAGTCCTTCCTTAGCACATGAGCCGGTTTTATTTTTATTGTGGTTCTCATCTCTGAATGGTGTACAAACACCATTGGTTATCTGTTCAATACTCATCCCTCTTTCTTTTTTGCTAAAGAATCCTGATTTTGTTTGCAGTGACAGTACCCACCAAATACTCGCTTTTCTAGCCTCCTATTTCTTTAGAAATAGTTTGGTGTAAGTGAAATATAAGTGGGTGTGTGCTGGAAGTTTCTGGGAAGGCTTTTGCTCTCCTGCTGTAATGGGATGTAGATGCAGTGCTGTCCTCTTACATCTACCTGCCCCTTCCTTGAATTTAAACTAAACACTTGGGGTTTCAACAGTCCTATTTGATTCAGAGAGAAAGGCCAAGAGAATTGTAGAAGCTGTTCATCTGACATCAATTAATCAAAGTAGCAATGTCAGGCTGGTGAAAACAGTTCGTATTATTTGACATTGTTGTTATTGTTTTCTATTATTTCTTTCTTTGTCACTTGCAACAAAATCATTCCTAATTAATGTAAATGTTGTTGCCATTGATAGTAGGAGGAAGAAATGGAAATTTTATGATCAATTTAAGTTGATGTTGCAGTCATGCCTCCACTGACTACTGTTGGAGGTGGTAGTGGTTACACCAGAACAAAACTACCTATGCTTAGATCCTGACTGTGTCAGTTACTAGTTGTGTGACCTTATACGAGTCACCTAACCCCTCAATATTTCAGTTCTCCCATCTGCAAAAACATGGATGATAAGCCTAGCAGAGAAATTGTTGAGACAGATAGTAGGTAATATTAAGGAAGAGAATATAGAAGGAGTGAATGTAGACAGAAGATAAAGGAACAGTTGATTTTTATCTGCATTTTGGGATGTGGAAATAAGTAGAATCAATGAAGGAGGAGATAGAGAAGAAATCGTTCAGAAAATAGAAGGAAAAACAGGAAAGCAAAATATCTCAGAAATCAGGGAAATGGTATTTTAAGAAAGAAATACTCAGCAGTGTTGATTGCAGTAGAAATAATAGGAACTAATAACAGGCCTTTTTATTTGAGGGCTAGAAGAAAGTATTTTTTTAAGAGAGTGTTTTAAGTACAGTGAGGGGTAAAAGTTGGATACAAGGATTTAAGATTGTGTAGTGAGGAAATAGGATAGTTAACATCACTTGCACACTTAGTTCGACTATATGAGCTCTTGTAACAAAAAACAGGAATATATTTTTCCATGTATACTCTTTTTTATATACAGTCATACATTGCTTAATGATGGGGATACATTCTGATAAATGTGTTGTTAGGTGATTTCATTGTTGTGCGAACATAATTGAATGTACTTGCATAAACCTGGATTTGTGTAGCCTACTGCACACCTAGGCTGTGTGGATGGGTTGAGTATCCCTAATCTGAAAATCTGAAATCCAAAATGCTTCAGAATTCAAAACATTTTGAGTGCTGATATGATACTAAAAGGAAATGCTGTTTGGGACATTTAGGATTTCAGATTTTGGATTTTTGGATTTTCAGCTTTGGGATGCTGAACCAGTAAGTATATATAATGCAAATATTTCAAAATCTGAAAAAAATCCAAAATGGAAACACTTCCGTCCTAAGCATTTCAGGTAAGGAATATTCAAACTGTATAGCCTGTTGCTCCTGGACTACAAATCTGTACAGCATGTTACTGTACTGAATACTAGAGGCAATTATAACACAATGGTAAGTATTTGTGTATCTAAATGTATCTAAACATAGAAAAGATATTATAAAAAGATGGTATAAAAAATAAAAAATGGTGTACCTGTGTAGGGAATTTACCATGAATGGCACCTGCAGGACTGGAGGTTGCTCTGGGTGAATTAGTGAGTCTGTGGTGAGTGAATGTGAAGGCCTAGGACACTACTGTACACTACAATAGACTTTATAAACACTGTACACTTAGGCTACACTAAATTTATGAGAAAACATATTTCTTCAATAATAAATTAACCATATCTTTCTGTAACTTTTTTTTTTCTTTTGAGATGGAGTCTCGCTCTGTCGCCAGGCTGGAGTGCAGTGGTGCAATCTTGACTGACTGCAACCTCCGCCTCCCAGGTTCAAGCAATTCTCTGCCTCAGCCTCCTGAGTAGCTGGGATTACAGGCGCCCACCACCACACCTGGCTAATTTTTGTATTTTTAGTAGAGATGGGGTTTCACCATCTTACTGTAACTTTTTAACTTTATAAAGTTTTAAATTATTTTTAGCTTTTTGACTGTTTTATAAGCACTTAGTTTAAAACACAAACACATTGTACAGCTCTACAAAGATATTTTCTTTCTATTCTTATTCTATAAGATTTTTTCTATTTTTAAAATTTATTCTTTTCCTTTTAAACTTTTTTGTTAAAAATGAAAACACAAACATACACATTAGTTTAGGCCTACCCAGGGTCAGGATCATCAATACCACTATCTTCTACCCCTACATCTTGTCCCACTAGAAGGTCTCCAGGGATGGTAACACACATGCAGCTGTCATCTCCTATGATAACAGTGCCTTCTTCTGCAGTGCCTCCTAAAGCACCTGCCTGAGGCTGTTCTACAGGTAATTTCTTTTTAAAAAAGTAAAATGAGTACACTCTAAAATAATAAAAAATTGTATAGTAAATACTTAAACCACTAAGTCATTTATTATCAAATATTATGTACTGTACATAATTTTATCTGCCATACAATCAGTTTGTTTACACCAGCATCACTACAAACTTGTGAATAATGCATTGTGGAATGACATTATGACAGCTGTGACAACACTAGGTGATAGGAATTTTTCAGCTGCATTATTATCTTATAGGACCACTGTTGTATGTGGTCCTTGTTGACTGAAATGTTATTCTGTGGCACATGACTGTACTATTTACATAACTATATATTTTACATTTATACATATTACTGAACAGTGTTACATCCACAAGATTATGCATATCACCCTTTAAACAATTTAAAGACTTGTTAAAGGTGATTTTTGACAGTGCTTGATTTTGCAGTATGGGCTGACTTTAGAGCTTAACCCCTACATAGGGTATAGCTCTAGTGTGGTGAATATATGCTACATAGATATACACTGCCCTGTACTGGGGAATAATTTTACATATATGGTGGCAGGGACTAGTGGAAAAAGTTTTGGCTTGAGGAGAAGTGATCATCTCCTGGTTCTATTTCTGTCCTACCAACTACTAGCTTTATTATGGTATACATTGCTTAACTTCTGTCCTCCAGCTTTTTCCTTTGTAAATTCTGAAACCTGTCAACTCAGTACTTAGGAAAGGTGTGATAAAATATTTGATCTCCTGAAATGTATGCTTTGCCTTTTAGCTAATAAAGTAGCTTCAGTGTAGCTTTAGCTGTGTTATTACAGTAGTACAGAGTTTAGAATTGCCTGTTCTAAAGTTGTTGAGCAAACCACTGAATTCCCTTTTAAAAAACAACTATGAGATGGTGAATTCAGTTACCTTAAATTTTTTTTAAATAATAGTTTTCTCCTACTATGTAATAGAAGAATTACATGTTAGAAAGTTCGAAAAATAGGCTGGCCGTGGTGACTCATGCCTGTAATCCCAACACTTTGGGAGGCAGAGGCGGGCAGATCACTTGAGTTCAGGAGTTTGAGACCAGCCTGGGCAACATAGTGAGACCCCATTTGCATAAAAAATACAAAATTAGCCAGGTATGGTGGCACATACCTGTAGTCCCAGCTACTCGGGAGCCTGAAGTAGAAGGATCATTTGAGTCCAGGAGGTCGAGGCTGCAGTGAGCCGTGAGCCGTGATCATGCCACTGCACTCCAGCCTGGACGACAGAGTGAGAGTATGTTTCAGAAGAAAGAAGCTTGGAAAATAGAACACACACACACACACACACACACACACACACACACACACACACACACACAGAGAGACACAAACACATGAGAAAAATCACTGTTTCATTCAGAGGTAACTTAATGTTTTGTTATCTTTCAGTCTTTTCAAAATATATATTTGAAATTATTTTAACATAATTGAAACTAAATTTTATAGCTTTATATCTTTTTTAAGGATTATGTAATAAACATTTTCCAAGTTATCAAATAATTTAGATTAACTTTTATTTTGTATAGTATCTCCATGTCACATAGATAGCCTAAATTGTATTTTTTCATTTGGATATTATACCATCCATTATGGAAGGACTTTTAAGGTTTTGACAATGTAGCCATTCTTGTAATATAAAAAAGAACACTAACCTTTTCACATTTTAAACTTTTCAGAATCAAATTATGATTAAAGCTGCTATTATAAACATCCATGTGCAGGATTTTATGTGGACATAAATTTTCAACTCATTTGGGTAAACCTTTAATATATTGTTAATTTGATACTCTTTAAATACTTAAATAAACTCAGCAAAGTTTGGAAAATAATTCTCCAAGCCTGAATCAATAAATATTGTGCATAAGGAGACCTTATACTGCAAAAAGATTTGCAAAAAGTAGATGCATTTTTAAATTAAAGGGTAGCAGTTTCCTTTCTGACTTTTTTTTTCACCTGGGACACAGATTTGAATCTTAACTTTGATGAGCAACTTAGTCCTATATTAATAAACCCGAATAACTCCTTTCTTAATCTTGAAAGAAAGGATGAAGAGATGATAATGTTAACTCTGCTGTGTTGATCTGAAAATGATATGTGGATACTTGCCCGTTAGATACTGGACTTTTACAAGTGACATTAAATGAATATAAAAATGACAACAGTTTTTGGACTATATTCCAGCTATTGGCTGGAGGTGAAAGATGATTAATCAGATGCCAATACTCTCTGCCTCTTATTTTTCATTTTACACATTTTTGGTCTTCTCTCTTCTCTTTTTTGTAGTATATAAATAAAATAAATTTCAGCAATGTATAAATAAGCACAATATGAACTATAGGATCTGATTTTCATCATGTCTAGTTTTGTTAATATTGATTGTTTTTTAATGGTTCATTTCCATTCAATTAAAAATATATTTTATATAGTTGTCTCATTGAAATATTTTTAATTTTATATCATATGCTAGGCCTACCTATCTGGCCATGTTTCAAGAGAATCTATAAATGTAATATGTAAGAAATTGATGATCCTTCAGTTGAATGTTGACATTTGAGATAATGCAGTTTTGCCTCTGAAATTATCTTTTAAAAACAAATTGCATTTAACTGACAATAATTATGTTGTATATAAATACTGTATTCTTTTTAGCATTCTCTGTAAATTGCATAGTAACTTTTCGGAATTCCTGTGGCCCTGCTTACCTATTGAAAATTTCTTTTTGTCAAAACATCCTTTACTCAAAATGTTTAATTCATTTTTTAATGAAAATCATTAAAAGTTTTGAATAGAACTTGTTTAACAGAAATATTTAAAATTGTTTATATTATACTTGTGAATCTCAAATTGATGGGCTATAAAGGTTGTGAATATCCTCACAAAATTCTAGGTATTGCTTTTTTTTGTATGTAATGTAACTTTAGAAGATAATATGTAAAATGTGGATTATTACTATGTGTGAGAAGGTCATTTTTCATGTTGACTAGATTATTGTAGAAATAGTTTATTTAAAATATTTTTTAAAAGGGAATCTTTGAAAAGACCAAAGTTATTTTTTAAAAATAACTTCATATTATTGCTTTTGATCTTCTTAACAGTTCTCTGAGGTAGAAAAATTGGATTTCTTTTGCTCTGTTTTTGTACACTTGATCTTAGCCAAAAAGCCGAGCAGTGATTACCCTGTTTTATAGATGTTATTCAGGTAGAGTGATGTGTCCAAGGTCACATCAAGGTTAGTTACAAAACAGAGATTAGAATGGACCTTCTGACTCAGTTTACTGCCTAGATTACCAAACAGTCTTCTACAATATTTTATCATAGTCAGTGATACCATTTTGTTTCATTGTCTATTACTACCTAAAGAAGATAAATTACAACCTAACTCTCTAGTATTTCTTCAGACTAATGTGACCAGAAAACTTACTTTGGGGAAGTGGGAGGTGAGAGTGAGCATATACTTTGATGATTTAATCCCAATGAAGGAGCATGCATTTACCTATAAATAAACAATACAATGCTAATCATTTTTTGTCTTTTAGCCAGAACAGGCAAAGGAGTAGCACTGGGTGAATGTAAATGAAAGAAGCTAACAGGAGAGGTTCAGGGCTAAAACAGTAGATTTGTCGTGTGGTCTTAGTGTGCACTATTGCATCCAATAAGGAATTCTTCTATACTTTCTGTTACAGATGCTGAAATTTTCTTCTAAGGAGAAATATCCCTTATTTACTTTTGTAAATGGTCATTCCAGAGACTATGATTTTACATCTACTACAACCAATGAAGAAGACCTTTTTTCAGAGGATGAAAAGAAACAATTAAAAAGATTTAGCACGGAAGAGTTTGTCTTGCTTTAAAGATTAGCACATTTGTGCTTGATAAGAAGAATTCCATTGAAAGGGGAAAAATGAAGAGAAACAAGTATATCTGAAATGTTTATTTTCACAAATATCTTAATTTTATATGTTCTTTAAAAAAGAACATTTGAAAATATAACAGTTAAAGATATTTTTCTAAAAGAGAAATGATTTAATGAATCTTGCTTTCTAATAAATAAATTGAGTGATTCTGGTTGCATTCCTATTTCCCTAAGATCTACTAGTGATAATTCTACCTTAACTGTAAGCCTTTTAGTCTTCAAAGTCTTCCACCTGAGCCCATTGTTCTCATGGAGGTTTTGTGATATTAACCCTCCCCCAAAGACTGGGATCACCAAATAGTTTCAAAATTCTCAGTTTGTACTGAAGACCAGAAGATCAGAGAAGGAAACTTTAATGCTGTCTAGCCTCCTGCTATTAATGCAATCAAAGAATACTTTTGCATATGTCTTGATAATTAAATAGTATTTGTTAACTGTGATATGCATACACTTATATAAGCAGAATTATGAGTTAAAGTAATACTTAGCAATATGATTTTATAATGGCTCCTCATTATGCTTGCTGTTGAACCTTTTATGAGGAGTGAATATAAAGTATTGGTTTTCCCTCACAAATTTAAAGATTATGTTATTAATACTATTATAACTGCATCAATCAAGTCAGATAAAGGCAACTATAAAATAGTAGTAGTGTTTGTTTCCTATCTCAAGGGCGAAATTTTATGGGAACTCAATTTATTATGCAGTTTTTAAGTTTAAAATACCAAGAAAGATGTCACTAGATTCTCTTCTATGTGATTTTTGTTTTTTATATAAAGCAGTGTAGTGGTGTTTAGAAGCTGAGGCCACCTGTAAGGCAAATCTGCCTTAAGTGTATTATGTGTTACTTAAAGGCAAATTTGTGATCTAAAAGTACAAGAGTGATTTTTGAGCTAGGATTATAAAATACATAATAAAGATGTGAGAAGATAAAATGCTTTTGTTTTGGTTTTAATGTTGGGATTATTTTAATCCTTTCATTTGAAAAATCAGTGTCTCAAATGAATTCTGTTCATTTATAATAAATGCATATATTGCTCTGAAAACAATATTAATTTTTTTAAGTGGAGCTTTCATGTTTCAGTGTAGAAACGTGACTTATAAAGACATAAAATTGTGTATCATCTAAAGTCATTGATCTCTTCCATCAGAAAACCTGTTTGTTTAGAGTTGCATGTAAAGCTGAAAGAGAGGGTGGGCGGATTGTTTTAGTATACCTGATGAGAAAAATCAGGTTTGACATTTCTCAGTGAAGATTACTTACTGAGTTGAAATAAATAGTCTGAAATCTAAAAGTTTTCTTTAGTCTAAATACAGTCAGCACAAATTTAAGTCCAATACTAATTTTCCTAGAATGTCAAAGCAATATAGGAACAAGAAGCCAGTGGTATACCAGATTTTATACACTGCAGTTGTCTGATCTAAGCTATTGCAATTTACTGTTCCTATATAGCTGCTGTATTCACAGGATTCTATGGTAAACACATCCAATGAGAGCACCCATACCTTCAAGTGGGTCTGAACCAGTTGTAAATGTTCTTACAAGAACTAATATAAAAGCTTAAGAGTTACAGAATAGCAGTGTTATTTCTTCAACATATTTAGGGATCATTTTTAGGTAGATTATTGGAATGAGACAAGGTTACACCTGGACAAAGTTAATGTGAGAGGAGGCAAAAATTTCCTTTACATTGAATTGTATGGAAAACACTTAGTATATTTTACAGACAAATCTTACAGTACAGTCATCCTCATGACTGGGAATAAATGTTTGGAATCAGAAATTGTTTTACGTAATAAGGCACATAAAAGTATTGACTAATATGTGTAAGTGAATGAATGCATGCATGATAATTGAGAGGGGGTCAATTTATTTTGCCTAGTAATTCACCTTCAGTCAACGACCAGCCAAAAGTTATGCTAATCTTTTATTTGGAAGGCACCAACAAAAGTATATCATTAGATTTAGAACAAACGTACTGTACATCCTGGTTTCAGACTTTGTTGTGAACACAGATTTCATTTCAAGTTCTGACAGCTAGTAAACTCAGTCAATAAAGCTTATGGATGATCTTTTTCAGCCTGGAATAAAGGAAAGTCAAAAAGGACAAGATTCTAAGATGAGTGTTCTGCTAGAACTATGATAGGAGAATCCTCCATTTGCACATTAATATTAAGATACTGGATTTTACCATTAACATTTCAGAAATGAATTTTTAAAATTCTTGATGTGACTTTCTGATGGTGAGGTTTTCTTTTCTCTTTTCTTCATAAGATTTGACACTTTGAATCCCTTTTTGTCAATGTGTTAACCACCAGCAGGCAATCTTAAGGGTCATAATTTGCTGAATGAGTGAAGGAAAAGATCCTTTACAGTGTAAGTATATCCAGAAAATTTCCTTGAGGTATTCATATTTCTGTTTTTACATTAAACCAACCTCATTAAATCTGTATTAGTGAGAAGACAACTTTAGAGGATTAAAAATTTAGGTTGCTTTTGTGTTCTATGATCATTAAGATTTAACATTGTCCAAGGGCAAACATATCTAAATATATATGTTAATTCCATCTTGTTTTTAGAAGATTAACAGCAAAAATGACTTAGCTATATAATCTATCTAATTTTAGGCAAGAATCTCTATTTTTTAGAGACCTCTAGTTCCCTTCCATTATTCAATACTAGAAAGCACTTTATTCTGTTTATTTTATTTTTTATTATACTGTAAGTTCTGGGGTACATGTGCACAACGTGCAGATTTGTTACATATGTATACATGTGCCATGTTGGTGTGCTGCACCCGTTAACTCGTCATTTATATTAGGTATATCTCCTAATGCTATCCCTCCTCCTTCCGCCCACCCCAAGACAGGCCCCTCTTTTTTTCTTTAATTTTTACTAGGAAGTTTCATTTTCATGGTTTATCACAGATCACCTTTAATAGCTTGCATTTGACATTGTCTTTTTGACTATATGTTCCTAAATAATCATGAAAAACTATAAAGGATTTTCTAAAATCAAGAAACAAGGAAGGACAGATAATGACAGAACAACTTGAAAATATGAAATCACTACATGAATTGTTACTTAAACAGAAATGGGTAGGAAACTGAGAATTTAAAATCATGGTGAAATAGAAGCAAGATATTCAGAATATATGATAGAGGCAATTCTTGGAAAGGATAAGGGATTATTTTCTATAAAAAAAGGAGAGTAAATGTCTTCCCCAAAAAAACTCTAGGCGAGTAAATATTTATCATGTGACATTTATTATACCCTCAGTATTGTCAGTCAACCACCATTCAATATTGCTATTTCTCTGAGCCTTTATACTGAGTACTCAGATACAGAACTGAAAAGGTGAAACATCAGGCCAGGAGAATTGGAAACATCCTATTGATTATAAAATATAAATTTTATATCATTTCATATTTTGAATCTTAAGTCAGTTTTAAAATCTTAAGCATTTTTGTGTGGCTTTCATGGTTATTTAAAGACTTTTTCCTTGACTATAAACTTTGAAAAATATTATATTTAGAGTTGGTATTGCAGACACATTTTTGAGTTAGCATTTTCCTCTCTTTTTTACAGTCCTTCTTGACGTTATTGGTGGCAAGCAATGGCCCAAAACATTCACAACTACAGTTATAAAATTTCACTTATTCTCTCACAGTGATAAGAAAAATATGCTAAATGTGGAGAATACATGTTATTAGAAGGGAAGATTACTCTTTCTGTGCTACCCTCTCTCCAACCAGTTCTTCCAGAAATGTAGAAACTCAGTCTTCCAAAATTGTCATCCAAGAGTGAATGATAAGAAAATATTCTACTCAGAATTGTCTTTCATTTAAATTATTTAAAAATTATTTATAAATATGATACATATATTTATAAGTATTATAAATAAATATACTAATATTCATTAATAAAATAGAGAAGTCAAGGGTTTTATAAAAAGTTGTTTTATAAGCAGGAAAGGTAAACAAAAGAAAGTTGAAATCCAATAGAAGTTATAACAAAAGGATAAGAGAATGATTAACAGCAAGTTTTGAGTGTATCTAGGCAAATACACCATAGCAAACTGACACAGATAAAAATACATTAATTAAAAAGTATTGTGGGCTGGGATGATTTAAAATTAAATGTAGGCAGTAGAAGAATGTAAATACTGATAAGGGCCAGTGGATATGGGGCTACCATGTTGCAGAACTCCACGGGACACTAATTTTTAGTATATGTTACATGAATGGTACTCCCTGGAATTGTGCAATGTAGCATTTGAGTTCCTAATATTTACATACTACTTGCTATTTATGCTGCACTGTTCAGTTTAGTTCATTTGTATTAAAATATAGCTAATGAATCTAAGATGGGGAATTAGATCTGGGATTGACGGAACAATTAATATGAGTTCTGGGACTTAGATGATCACATAATGGAACAGGTAAGGAGAGTCCATGGTCAACTGTCTGGTTATTTAAATTATTTCTAAAATACTTTAAATATATATCATTTGGAAAGGATCAACCTATACTTACATGATACTTCAACATATTACTTTCATTTTTCTATACTCCCTTCTACTTTAGGTTCGTATTCTCATTACTCTTTAAGCGTGTTCAATAGGTTGAATTTTGATTCCTATTTCTTTATTCTATTGATGAAGAGGGCCACCACTTATTCTGTCTTTTGTATTTGGATCTATATACTGACTGTTTTATGCCTCTGACCTGCATGTTGGTCTTTCCCGTGACTTGTGGTTGGCTCCTAGACCTGACCTGGGCTTGGCCAGTCTTATGGCCACTAGCACATGTCTATACCTACAGAGACATTCTTGGTTTTGTATGTAATATGTTCCCACAAACACTTGAGACAGTTGAATATGAAGGAACTGAACAATAGATATTTTTAAACAGTGTTTTAAGGAAGGTTCTTATGCAGAGAGTTAAAAATATAAAAATATTTAAAACCAAATTATTTTTAATCATATAGGCTTTTACATGGTCTTAATGATACACTTTTGGTATCTCACAGATCTTTCTTTTTTGTTCTTTTGTATTAGAACATTCAATTGACTGACTTAAAGTTGACTTATAGTAGAATATACAGTTGACTGAGCATTTCATTGAGGCTAATGATTATTTCTATCTTTATATTAAATTTATGAGATCTACATTTCTTAGCACTAGTTTTAGCACTGTGATTTTTCTGTTTTCCTGCAAAATAAGAGGGAATGAAATATAAAATCCAACAGTTATCTAATCTGCTATACAAAGATTGTGATATTAGCTGGCAGGCAGCATCAACTCAGAGCTCAAAGTGCATCTTCGTCAGATGATGTTTAAAAGTCCAAATTCCATAATGTTTAAGGTGGCTCAGGGGCGTCAGATGATATACGTCTAATGTCTACATAGTTCTGTTTTCTGTCTTTTTGTTATAGCCATTCTACTGTGTGTGTGAAGTAGTATCTTGGGGTTTTCTTTTTTAAATAATAGCTTTATTGAGATGTAATTTACACATTAGACACTTCAACCTTTTAAAGTAAAATAACTTTAAAAACCACAATTTAGTGGTTTTTAATATAGTCATAGTTGTGTAATGATTGCCATTACCAAATTCCTGAGTATTTTAATTACCCTAAAAAGAAGCCCTGTACCCACTCTCACTTCCCATTCTTCACCCCTTTTTTCTTCCGTCCCCAGCCCTAGCAACCACTAATCTTTCTGCCTGTATGGATTTGCCTAATCTGGACATTTCATCTAAATGGAATCATACACTATATGGCCTTTTGTGTCTGACTCCTTTAACTTGCCATAATTTTTTTCAAGTTTCTTCCATGTTATTGCATGTATTTGTTAGCACCTCATTACTTTTTTTTATGACAGTAATATTCTATTAGATGGGTATACCACATTTTCCTTATTCATCAATTGATGGACATTGCGATTTTTTTCTACTTTTTAGCTACTATGAATAATGCTGTTCAGAACATTTGTGTACATGATTTTGTGTGGGTGTATATTTTCATTTCTACTGGATATTTGCCTAGGAGTAGAGTTGCTGATCATGTTTATAACTATGTTTAACTATTTGAGGAATTCCTAAACTGTTTTCCAAAGTGGTTCACCATTACACAATCCTAGCAGCAATGTATGAGGGTTCTGGCTTTTCTACTTTCTCACTAACCCTTGTTATTGTCTAGCTTTTAAATTTTAGCCAGCAGAGTATGTGTGAATGGTACCTTATTTTGGTTTTGATTTTCATTTTCCTAGTGACTAATAATGTTTATCTTTCCATATGCTTGTTGACCACTTTTATGTCTTCTTTGGAAAAATGTATATTTAAAATCTTTGCTCATTTTAAATTTAGGTTATTTGTGTTTATATTATTGAGTTATAAGTGTTCTTTGCATATTTGGGATACAAGTACTTCATCAGATATATGATTTACAAGCATTTTCTCTTGTTCTGTAGGTTGTCTTTTTATCTTTTTTTTTTTTTTTTTGAGGCAGAGTCTCGCTCTGTCGCCCAGGCTAGAGTGCAGTGGCACGATCTCAGCTCACTGTGACCCCCACCTCCCGGGTTCAAGTGATTCTTGTGCCTCAGCCTCCCAAGTACCTGGGATTACAGGCTTGCACCACCATGTTGGCTAATTTTTATATTTTTTATTAGAGATGGGGTTTTGCCATGTTGGTCAGGATGGTCTTGAACTCCTGGCCTCAAGTTATCTGTCTGCCTCGGCCTCTCAAAGTGCTGGGATTACAGATGTGGGCAACCGTGCCCAGCCATCTTTTTACTTTGTTGATGGTATCCTATGAACTACTGAAAGTTTTAATTTTGATAAAGTCTAATTTATGTTTTTTTAATTTCTTGTGCATTTGGTGTTATATCTGAGAAACCATTGATTGATTCAAGGTCCTAAAGGGGTCTATACCTATACTTTCTCCTAAGAGTTTTATAGTTTTAGCTGTTACATTTAGGGTTTTTTTTTTTTTTTTTTTTTAAAGAGACAGTCTCACTCTGTCGCTGGAGTGCAGGCTGGAGTGCAGTGGTGTGATCTTGGCTCACTGCAACCTCTGCCTCCCAGGATCAACCGATTCTCCTGCCTCAGCCTCCTGAGTAGCTGGGATTACAGGCATGCGCCACCACACCCAGCTAATTTTTGTATTTTTAGTAGAGATGGGGATTCACCATGTTGGTCAGGCTGGTCTTGAACTCCTGACCTTATGATCCACCCGCCTCGGCCTCCCAAAGTGCTGGGATTACAGGCGTGAGCCACCATGCTTGGCCTAGGTTTTTTTTTTGTTTTTTGTTTTAAATCCATTTTGAGTTGATTTTTGTATATGGTGTGAGGTAGGTGTTTATTCTTTTGCATGTAATGTCCAGTTGTCCAAGCACCATTTGTTGAAAAGACTACTCTTTTCAACAAATGAATAGTGTTGTCGCCCTTGTTGAAAGTCAACTGACTGTAAATATAAGGGTTTATTTGTAGACTCTCAAATCTATTCCATTTATCTAGCCTCATGCCAGTTTGATACTGTCTTGATTACCTTGGCTTTGTAATAAATTCTGCAATTGGGAGGTGTAAGTCCTTCAGCTCTGTTCTTCTTTTTCAACATTGCATGGCAATTTCTGGAAAATGTTTTCTCATTTCTTTCAGTCTTCATTTATTTATTCTTTTTTTTTTTTTTTTTTGAGATGGAGTTTTGCCCTATCGCCCAGGCTGGAGTGCAGTGGCGTGATCTCAGCTCACTGTAACCTCTGCCCCTTGGGCTCAAGCTATTTTCTCGCCTCAGCCTCCCACGTAGCTGGGATTACAGGTGTGCACTACCATACCCAGCTAATTTTTGTATTTTTAGTAGAGACGGGGTTTCACCATGTTGGCCAGGCTGGTCTTGAACTCCTGACCTCAAGTGATCCACCTGTCTCGGCCTGCCAAAGTGGTGGGATTACAGACATGAGCCACTGCGCCCAGCCCAGTCTTTATTTTTAAAACATAAATCTTTATTTTTATTATTGAAATTTTACATAGTAGAAAATTGGCCCAAAATGCTGAAGATACATGTTTAGAAAGTAAAACATGCAAAATACAGTTCTTAGAACTATGATCATGTTGTATAAGAACAAATCAATTATAGTAGATTACATTATACCATTGCATCATCCAGAACAAGTGCTTCAAAAGTAAGGCTTTACATATTCACCCAGTACTACTAGTTTGGAAAAAAATACGAATCTTTATATTTTGGGGAAAACAGATGCTTAATTTTTTGGTCAAACTCCAGTGTTATACATTTGAGAAGACATAATGAACTGGTTAAACTGTAGAGTCAGACTGGCTCAGCTCAAATTGTGACTTTAGCACTTACCAGCAATATGGCCTTGAGCAAGTACTTAACATCTATAAAATGGGGATAACAGTCACTGTCGTAGTATAGTAGCAGCAGAAGGCTGTTGTAAGGATTAAGGGAGGAAACATGTGAAACACTTATTAGAAAAGTGCCTGGCACACAGTAAGTACTCAATAAGTGTTAGCCTTTAAAAGTGTTGTAAAGATTTTATTCATGCCAGTCTCAAGATTTGAAAAGACTTTAAAATTCCTTTTTTTTTTTTGAACTGGCATTGGAATGCAAGAATTAGGAAAAATAAAACAAAAACCTCTTAATTCTATGCTAATATTGAATGTCCATGAAGCACTACAGAATACATTGAGATTTTTTAAAAAGTGACACTTCTGTCAGGGAGCTTAGAATTAAGGATGGGGAAAATACACAAAAAACTCATCCATGATCGAGAAAGAGAATGTTTATAATAGAAGTTATACAAAGTAAAAGGTTATTTGGTTTCAAAAGAAGACAGCTCACATATGGTTATGGGGATTAGGCAAGTCTTCCCGGAGGAGGTGGCATTTTGGATGAATTCTAAAAGTCTTGATTTGATTTATATACAGGCAGTGATAAGGTAAGTATCTGAACTAATAAGAAACAACACAAAGACTGAGAGCCAGGGTCCAGGGTCCTGCTTTCTAAACAGAAGTGGGTTTGGGGCAGGGGCCATCCCCACGGGGCACAGTTGAGGTGCATGTGGCTGGTTTTGGTTGTACTGGCTAGGGAGCACTGCTAGTAGGTAGTAAGGGGTGATGCTAAACATTCTGCAGGTGACTGAGGGCTGTGATGGCCAGGCTGAAACGTATAATTAGGTGGATGCCTAGAAGAGAAACAGGAAGAAGAATGCTATGAAGGGGGAAAAAAAGGGTGTAGACATCAGAAGAGCAGGGTTTTGGTTTTAACACTTTAAAATATGAAAATTTAAAATTGGAATGTGATTCCTCAAGCCCTATTCTTAGATTCTGTTTTACCTAGATATAATTCTATACATTCTATGCATATACTTAGTGAATTTATGCATATACTCAGTGAATTTAGATGGGGCAGAGAGAGTAGGTCATTTAATGCTGGGGTTCTTAACCTGATGAACCCATGAATAGAATTTAGGGGTTCATGAGCTTGGGTTGGAAAAACATTTACATCTTTATTTTTACCAACATCTACCTGAAATATAGTATTTCCTTTCAATAAGAATACAGACAACAAAATATAGCAGTGTTAGCAGTAGCTAGAACATTACTACTAATAGAAATTATAGATATTTTTTATATTACAGCTAATATAGATACCTTGAAGTATTTACACTGCTTTGAAATTTTGGTAGGTTTTGCTACTAGGATTTTTAAATGTGTTGATAGAGAAGCAAATACATTACTATAGTTACAAATTTTTAAAAATGTATAATTGGCCGGGCGCGGTGGCTCGTGCCTGTAATCCTAGCACTTTGGGAGGCCGAGACGGGCGGATCACGAGGTCAGGAGATCGAGACCATCTTGGCTAACACGGTGAAACCCCGTTTCTACTAAAAATACAAAAAATTAGCCGGGCGTGTTGGCGGGCGCCTGTAGTCCCAGCTACTTGGGAGGCTGAGGCAGGAGAATGGCATGAACCCGGGAGGCGGAGCTTGCAGTGAGCCGAGATCGCGCCACTGCACTCCAGCCTGGGCGACAGAGCGAGACTCCGTCTCAAAAAAAAAAAAAAAAAAAAAAAAAAGTATAATTTATAGTAAATTATAATTTATAGTAAAATTTTAAAATTTTTATTCATGTGCATTTTAATTTACATTTTAAAACATTTTTCTGAGAAGGAGACACTAGGCTTTACCAGACTTCCAAATGATGTAAAGTGATGAAGTTTGGGAAATAGAATGGTAGAATCTTGTGAGAATGATTGGAAAAACAATTTCAGGCCGAAATTTGGAGTTGGAGCATGTTGAGTGAAATAGATGGTGTAAGCATCTGCAGAAGAGAGTGTGAAGTGATAACAGAGTCATCTGGAAGTGGGAATGCAAAGCTACCTGAATCAGAGGGATTTAAATGGAAGGAGGAGTGTCCTTGCTGGTTAAGTTTAGGAGAGAATTAGTACTGCCAGGAAAATGAAAGTTTGAGTTAATGTTAAGAGATAGAGGATTAATGATTGCCAATGGCAACAACTGACATTGGGTGCTTACTAAATATAAAATACATATTATTTAATCTTTGCAAAAATCCTGGGAAGTAGATATTTTTATCCTTGCCATTTTACAGATGAAGAAATTGAGGGTCTGATATGTTAATTTGCCAAATTATCGCAGTTGGCAATCTGCAGATCTGAGATTTAAACCTCTCCTGATTCCAAAGCCTGCTCTAGTTTTTCCTACATCATATTGAATTAGATGTTCCAAAAGACCAAGAGGAAGAGGCTAGAGAAAATGGCATGTGAGGACCGAGCTGGATGGGGATGAAAGCAGGGAGACTGTGGAAGGGAAGTCTTTGACCTGGTTTTGGAAAGAATTTTGGAAAACGGGTTAAAGACACAGGCAGTCTGGGTGGTAGGCCGGAGGGGGTGAGGAGATGAGGTGGCATTTGACGAAAATTTGCTTATATTTTAGTGGCATTGAGAATCAAGTCCCCATTGTTTCAGAAACTGTTACACAGATGGTAAATTTATGTAAGATGCTCCTTTTCTCTCTTCCCTTGGCATAGTACTCCTGCCCACCCTGAGGTGGGGAAACTGCTCTTAGTAGTAGCCTTATGAGGTGACATTTTGAGCCTTCTCTCCTTTGCCTGGCCTTCAGACCCCAATTTTCTAGAGACTGCAATTGAGAAAGACCTTTTGTTACTGTACAATAGGGGGAAAACTCCCAGTGGTATAAAACAGACTGAGGACTTTGCAAAATATAGCAAGTTCATGTCTGCTAATATGTTAAGTTATTTGGCCTCTCTAGTTTAAGTAGTGATTTGTTGTTTTCATGCTAATACAAATTCTTGTATTAATAGGAGCATGGCCCTGGGTTTCTTCATCCGTCTGGGAAAAAATTACTTGTTTGATGGTAAACAAAGAATAGAAGAATTGGTTCACTGTCCTCATTTTAAAAAAAGATGGTATGAAGCAATAGTGGAATAATTTTAATTGTAACCATCTAACACTTGCCATCAGTAAGATCATTTGTGTTCTGATTTTAGGAAATGGAGTATTAAAGAGTACATAGTGCATTAGAAATGCAAAACATGACCACATGTTCTCAGGATTTTGTCAGTGTTACATGAAAGAGCACTTGTATTGGGATGCTCGGCTCTGAGGGTATTCTCTGTTCAGTGTGTATTTACAGAGATGTATGAATATTTGATTAATGAGTCATGGTCTCCGGAGAAATTTAATAACTGTATTGCTGTACAAAGCCAGGCCCTTAACTGTTAACACAGCTGCCAATAGTGTCATTGACATTGCGGCCCTTTCTGAATCTAATATATTCTGTGGAGTAAATTCCTTGGTTAAAAAGGGATCTGTGAGAGACATTCAGTTATCTGTTTTGAACTTCATTTAATTTACAGGCTCTGATTTGTAAAGATTTTTCCAGTGAAAACAAGCAGTGATAGGGAAACTTAAAAATGACCTTTTTAAAAATGATTATTTTTCCCAGAAATAAGTTGGAAAATCATTGATAAATAAAAAGGAGTTGGTTATCCTCTTCAAGATTATCTTTTGGGGATTCAGTAATCATTTTTGTCTTGCTTGTCATCTAAGAAATATCCACAAGCAGTAGAAATCTAAGATATATTTGTGATTTGGATATGTAGATCTCATATGTATTAGAATGTCCTAATCTAAATTCATTATTAAACATAATTTAATGCTTTTTCAGCAATAATTGAAGGCTAATTTATCCTTTCTTCATTCTTTTTGTTTTTAATATCTATGGAGAAATCAATTCTAACTTTCAAAGTTAGATAGGTATTTTAGTAATGTTACTTCGGTTTAACTGCTTGAGTAACAGGGAGAAATGTCAAAAAAAAGATAAATTCAGTGCAGGAGCTTTCGCTAGAAGCTGTAACTGCAGGTTAGAATTATCCATGCTATGCAGAATTTCCTGCAACACTTCTCCTTAGGGCCACAATGCATTACAGCAGACGTATAATGAAGCTGCTATAAAATCTCTGGTAATTAAGGGGGATTTGACAGTAATTGCAACAGTGAATCAACTTAATTATTACCTGCTTCAAAGAGAGCTAACCTGATGTTATAATCTAACCTTTTCTACTTTTAAAATGGGAGATTAAACAAGTATATGTAGCATTTAAGAATTAAATCTGTTGAGATAGAATTGTATTAATATACTTCTAATATATACTTTATGCACATGTACACATCAGCTTCTCAAGAACCAGCACCCAGCTCTCTGTGATCCATTAAAGTTATTTGGTATGCTCTGGAAATTAAACCAAAGGCACATCTCTTATTCAAGTTAGCTTCTCCCTCAGCCACAAACAGACCTTGGTTGTGGTTAACTTGACTTCCACAAAATAAAAAATATTTTCTTAATATTAGCACATAAAGCAAAGAAACACCAAAGTTATTATCATTGCTTACATTAGGTAGACCATCTCTTAGAATCTTAAAATCTCATCAAAAGTGCAAGTAAAGCTAGGTGTGGTGGCATATGCCTATAATCCCAGATACTTGGAAAGCTGAGGCAGGAGGATTGCTTGAGCCCAAGAGTCTGAGAATGTAATGAGCTACGATCACACCACTGCATTCCAGCCTGGGTGACAGAGTGAGACCCTGTCTCTAACTGATATGAAGATAAAGATTTAGAATTACTGAGAGCTCTTATCTAACTTGGTATATCCGACTCGGCACAAGGATCGAGATACCTGTTTCAGCCTAAGTTATGTCAAGGGTAACACTTTTTATAAATGTTCTCCTCTCACTTCCTATTGCCTGCTATCTTCCCACAAGAATGGGAGTGGAGAGAGAGAAAAGTAGTGTGGTTTTGATATGAATTTATGTCATATACCATGTATTACCAGGTACCTACTAAATGTAATCAATACCAGTTTCTGTATTTATGGTTTGGCTTCCTCTCTGGCAGATTTCCCCAGCTCTCTTTTCTGCTTTTAAGCCTTTATCATACATACTTGTGTCTTTGTTGGCTTTAGCTTTACTACTACTTTCAATGGCAAAAACCGCAATTACTTTTGCACCAACCTAATGGCTCTCTTAACTCTCTAATTATAGCAAGATTGGTCCACAGTAGTTTTGTTTTGGAATTGAATCTTTTGGTTTGGTTTTGTGTGTGCATATGTAGCGATCCAATGAAGTGACTTGTTTCACAGGAGGTGATTGATTAGGCATAGGTTTGGTACAGTTTGGGGATAGAACAATCTCATCCTCAAGCAATGTTTTCCACACTAAGAGTATGTTCAGATGAACGTGAACCAGAATTGAGTCTTCATCTGGGGCAGCAATAGGTTAGCTGCTTAGGACACTTGGGCAGGCTTTGATCATTGATCTAATAAGATTTTGTCTTCTGGTGTATTGCAAATTCAGCCTGGAATCCCTGAAGGAAGATTGAGAGCACAAGTTATATACCTTGTTCTCTAATGTTTTCTTGCCACTAATCAAACTCTTTCTTAATATAGGAGGCAAATAAGCACAGTCAACAATTGACTAATGAATAGGGAAATTAAACAATGTGAATTATAATTTTGATTTGCTCACTGGACTGATCTGGGGCAAATTGTCTAGAACCTCTTTCTGTTTTATTCTTATGCTAGACTGAATTACAACTACTCCACAGGGATCTCCTAAAATCTGTTTCCTTTTTTTTCTGTCAGAAAATTTTCATGAAGCAGGTCACCAAAGTAGTGTCCTTAACAAGTTAACACAACTTCCAAAGGTGCCAGTTTTATGGTCAAGGATTCTCCTATTCCATGCAAGCCATGGTTGTCTTTAATTCATGCTCATAACTTATAATTTACCAGGGATCAGTTACCTATGTAATAGTTATACCTGACTTTTTGTCTTTTGGATGGTTCATTCCTTGTTAGCAGTGAGCAGAGAAAGTTGAAAGGTATGAAGCTCAAACCAAATGATTTTTACTTGATAATCAATGTAACAAGGCTATGGGAAGAAGATGGAGCACTTACTATTCTAGGCACTTTATATGCATTATCTCATTTTCATACCAGGAACAAATCTGTGCTTTATAGAGAAGAAACTTGAGACTTAGATTAAGAAAATTGCCCAAAGATATCTAGGTTATAAATGATACATTCAGGATTCAACCCTAGATCTGATTCCATAAGTGGTTGAAACTACTAAATTTTGGATTTGTTTGTGGAATTAATTAATTAAAGGAGCAACCATATTGCTCCTTTCTGAGATATCACAGGTGAAAATGTACAGGAGAATATATACAGGTTTTCACTGAAGACCTCCCTGAAATACAATGTATTTTTAATGTCAGCATTTTCAATGCCAGACATACTTAAGAACCAATAAGTTTTGAAGCTTTTACCTTCCAGGTTAATGCTCCCTTTCAGTTCTTCTCAGGTCTTTTCCACAAGCAAAACATGTACTGACTTCTTATGAACTTTGTGAAGAATGGGTATCTATTTAGAGACCTACATGGTAAAGACAAATTGTCATACTTCTTTGTTCTTATAAAATGATGGAGTAAAAAAAAAGTTAGGATTATGTTTTCTGAGAGAAAGTTAATTATACAACCATCTCAGTTATTCAGGGACAGAATATTAGATGAAGGATATATTCATTCCTGCCTTGGGCAATAGAAATGGATTTTTTCAGTTGGCACTAAGGTGGTCACAATAAGGGATTAAGAGAGAGTTGGGATCACCTCAAAAAATGACCTGTCTTTGAAAGATGGCAGAGTTTTAAGGAATTTTAAAGATTATCTAGTCCATTGGCTTTTTATAGATGAGTCCCAAAAAGATAAAATTACTTGCCCAAGTTACACAGCTACCTATGACAGAGGTGTTTTAGAATCTAGCTTATTTTAGCTGAGAGAAAATTTATCTCAAAGAGTTTATGTTTGGCAACTTTAATATAAATAGCAGAACATCTACTGACATCTTTTTAAAAATCAAATCATATTTAAGTAAACTGGGTTCCGTTGATTTCCAGACTACAGTCCTGAAAAGGGATGGAATTCTTATTACAGAAACTGACTTTCCTTTGTTGTCCAATTAGAGCATTGACGTAGATTTGGAATACTGAGTGAAGTTAAAAAGAAAATTGTAAATTAATAGCAGTGGGAATCAGTCTGAGCATCTTTTCAACAATATTTCTACCCCTGCCTTCAACTTATATCTTGGCTTTTTGTTTTATTGTTATTGGGTCACTTCTCCAAGAAGCATAGGAAACTAGGTGATTGCCAGTTGTAACTTGAAAAGGAGGGTAGGATCTGAAAAGAAAAGGAATGGAAATTTTTATTATGAAATCTCTATTTCAGTTATCTATTGCTGTGTAATAAATTATTGTCTTAACCTAATAAGGACATGTTATTCTTAATGATTTTGTGGTTGATTGTGCTCAGCCGTGAGGTTCTTCTGCTCCACATGGTGAAGCTGCAGTTACTCATCCAGTTGCTTTCAACTGAGAGTTCACCTGGAGTTTAAACATCCAGGATGGTCTCTCATCTTTCAAGACTACTCTCCAAGTGACCTCTCATCATTTGACAGTCTAACCCAAATTTTTCTACAGCATGACAGCTGGCTCTGAAAAACACAAATGCAATAGCTTCCAGGACTTGTTAAGACTTGGGCTGGGATCTGGCACAGTGGCACTTCTGCTACATTCTCCTGAGCAAAACAAACCCAGTTCAGAGTCAGGGGTAGGGGAAATAGATTCCATTTGTTGATGGGAGAAATGGTAAATAATTTTTTTGGCCATCTTTACCACCATCCCAAATTTTTAGGATCTCAGCTTTCATTTATCAACCAATCATATATCTGAACTTTCTTAACATTTAAATATCCCACATCAAATATTTAACAAATGCCAGTATTTCCCTTAGTCCAAGCAATAACCCATTTCTTTCCTCAGTTCCCCCCAAAACAAAGAAATTCACAGACATACATGACTTCGGAAAACAGTAATATTATGCCTTCATGAAATCCTCAATTTCAGAGATGACAAGAAGATTTCTAATTATCTGTCTTGGAGCTGAGGTAGATTTTCTAGCGCTTTCTACTTCTTAAGGGTGTAAAAACAGCCTCAAGTCCTAGGAAATTTAAATTCTGGAATAAAAAGAAGTATGAACATGTGAGAGTGAGCCAGAGAGAGAATTTTGGCCGGAAATTTAGATGAATAATTTGGTCCAGCAAGAAGACCCTATCCATTTTCCCTTTGGCTGCTTAGTTCTAATTTCTCTAATAGAGTCTGAATTTAGTGAATCATCTTCTCTGACCAGGTACCCCTCTGCCAGAACAACAGAAAGTGCCAAACTGCCTCAGCCATGATGGTCAATTTGACATGGAAATATTGTAAAAATAGCAATGAGGGGATCAGCTTTGCTTCTGCATAACTTTATTTTTTATATAATTATGCAGGATCTATACACAGGCACCCATGTCTGCTTTTCTGCTGCAAATGTAGTCATTACGGAACTAGCTAGGCCCACTTACTGAAGCATTTAGACAATGGTGGGTATGGGTGTTATGGAGAGGATTACACTGTAAAGACAGCAATATGATTTCGAATCCCCTTTTCCCTGAAGGCACCAGCAGAATCACCAAGAGGCAGCCTATTCCCCCTCAAATGATATATAGCAGTTTATCATGTCAAACTACGTCACAGAGGGTTAAGGCTATACGGCTTCTGGCTGTCAGAACCAGGATTTCATCTAGGGGCCCCTCAGGCCATATGGAGGAAGCCTCAAAAGTTCATTCTGCTTTTTCCATTGTCTGGCATCTTGTTTCCATTCCCATGCCAGTGTCCTCTTTTGACCAACCTTATAGCCCAAATCCAAATCATGGGTGCAACATAAGCTTTCATAAGATTTTCCTTCTATTCATTAAGAGAAGCCTCTCCATTGTGTCCAAATAAACTTAGTAAATACAAATATGAGAGGATACATTTTTATTTTAATTTATAAATTTTAATATACCTCTACATACTTAGGGAACTGTCTTTTAACCTTTGGAACAATTCTGTGGAAATAATTTGAAATTATTTCTGCTGACTAGAGACAATCTACAGAGACAGGATCATGAGAGGAAAAATATACATATGTAATTCTTTTGTGAAGCTACAATATTAAGATTCTGCTCACGACTCCTATTAGAGTTCATCACGACCTATTTCAGCTTTTGCACACCGTAATTGTTTCATTGTGAAAATCTTTTGTGTCTATTTTCTGAATTGCTATGTTGTCTATAAATATTTAGTGATAATTCATGATTGGGTTGTATTTACCCCTGTAGTTATGTATTACAAATGAAACGACAGCATCTGCTGAAATTAAAAGTGGCCACATTTTCACTGGAGCTTAATTAAATGCCAAAATTTATCTACATTAACAACAAAGTAGTGAAATTTATTGATCAATTCACATGATATAAGTTGACAAATGGCTTAAGCAATTTCCATAATTTTCTACACGTGTTAAAATTTGTAATGAAAAAGAACACTATATTAACATTAAATGAGAGCTGAAAGGGAGGTTTTGTACTGGGGCCAGTGCCCTGGAGCAGTGTACTTTGTTTCCCGGGCCCTGTCCAGGCTTGCTGTTTGAGCTGTGTACAGATGGGTCTCTGACAGTCCTACAGCTGTTCTCCTAATTGTCCATTAAGTGTTCTATTGATTCTCTGATTCAAAGTTCATGTCTTTCAGCTCAAGCTATCGTGTGAAGTGGCAGACACATTCCTTGTAGAATGACAGAGCTGCTTGAAACCTAAAAATGCAGTCTGCCAGTTTCAATTGAGGATCCTGCTTTCAAAGGAGAAGGCTTGGTTAAAGGCGCTTTGTAATAGCTGGTTAGGTTATATTTTCTAAACTTTTAGCATCAATCAATTAAGGCAGCAGCAGCATGAAGAATTTTAATTCCTGGATAAGCATGTACAGATTGCACCTGGCTGATACAGGACAGGACGAGGGGATCAGGATTGGTAAGAGAAGATCAGACTCGTTTAGCTGTATGCAGATTTTTTCCCTTCTGCATCCGACATGCGCAAAGTCATTTTCATTTGACTTGCAAGTTCACTTTTTGCATTTTTTAAAAAATTGAGATCATCTGCAATTCTAGATTATGCCAGTCAGAAGCCTGTTTAAAATCATCACTCTTTAATCTGGAAAGTGAAAGATAAGATGCATATCTGTTGCGAGGACCATAAATCTTCAGAGAAACAAATAACCATAGATAAAACTGTAAAAGTTATTTAGTACTCCATTGGAAGATGTTTATTAATCTAAAATTTCCAGTCCATTGTGTCGTGATTTGGTTAGCACTCTGTATCTCATTTTGTGCAATTGTACCCCAAGCAAAGATCTGATCTCTTCAGAGTTTGAACTTTATCAGTTGTGTAGTTCAGTTTTGGTCTAGGTTCAAGAAATAAAGCAAAAGCTGCTATCCAAAAAACAATCCACAACTATGGTTTGGGTTGCCCCCAATAGTATGTACTTTCTTTTCTTAATGAAATGACACATCCTAATGCTTTTACCATCTAGATTTAGCTCCTAATTACTCTGTAATATAATATTTCTATAGAAAACAGTCTTATTATCTAGTAATCTTTCATCTATAAATGAAATGAACAAATAATGTTAGTTGTCTCTTGTGTATCATTAACTTAATTAGGAGCCACCCCAATGGACTTAATCACAGTTGAGGTTCTCTGGTATGATTTTAGCTTACATAAGTTTATAGATTCATCGAGATTTTCAAAGGGAAAAAGACTATCAAACACATATTTAAATCGGTTTTATGTATTAAATATACATATTTCAATGCATAAACATGAGAAATATCTATTAAGGAAAATCACTTTAAGGGAAAAATTAATTAAAAACTGCTCTGTTTCCCACAATTAGCTGTACATTTTTTTTTTAATGTCACCTTTGTATCTTTGCACAATAGCTTCTTTGGAAGTATACTCTTCTCTCATTATTGTTGGGTAAAGGAGCATGGTCACTAAACTGGTGTTCCTTTTGTCAAAAAGCAAATGATTTGTATCCTGATGTTCTGTCTGAAGCGTGGCTCTTTTTACTCTGGCCCTCCCATCTATAAGCCTCCATGCTGTAGCATCCTAAGTAGGAAGTGAGTTGCCTGCTGTAAGAGTTGATGAAACAGGGAGACAATATATGTACTTTTAATTTGTTTTTAGTGTGATGTATTTAGGATTTGGAAGCATCAGGAATTATATAACTTATTTGCTTTTAAAATATTTGTTGTGATATTACAGTATATGTGAATGAATGCAGTATGTGGTATGTATTACAGAATCCAATCTGAATTTAGGGATTTAAGTGTTTTCAGAATGTGGAAGCTTCAACCAAAATGTCTTCTTACCAAAGGATGATAAATCTTCCCTAGCTGCTTTTTCTTGGAAAACAAGTGAAAAATCTATTTCTAACATAGTAATATAGTATATATTGATACCTGCAAAACATTATGTGAATCTACTTAGATGCCAGCACTTTCAATTACAGTTAGCCAGTTTTTAAAAAAGATTTTTAGAAGCTTTCAACTGTAGACTTTTGTCTTGTTGAATGAACTTCAGCTACACTAAATTTTAAGTAAATTTGTGATGACTGAGCAATATACATTGGCTGAGCTAGAATCCAATAACCCACAGGACAAATTAATTTTCAACAAAAAGGGCAGAAACCTCAAGTGCCATGAGTATATGGAGTCTCATTCTATCTCTCTGGAGCCATTTTTGCAAATCACTACAGCTATTCATAATCTAAATCAGTCTCCTTTAGCAGCAGAAAGATCTTTTTTCATGACAAAACAGAAGATGACATTCATTAGTGCCTAACTTGCATAAGCTACCTTAAATTTATTGGTGCTCTTCTGCTTATCTGGGTAAGAATTCCTTTGTCTACAGCTATAGGAAAATTCCAGTTGTACTACTTAAAAATATAAATTGTCACTTTTATCAGAACTTTTGGCAGTTTACTTTATTTTAGAAGTAAAACTGGTGGTTAAGGTTTTAAGACTTCCAATGGGCGTTGTTTCAATCATATTTAATAGGTGCCTAGGATAGTAATAGGATTATGTATAAGCTTCTGTGCTGAAAAAAAATTCACATTTTTATCCATATACTGCTGGGGAGGTTTGTGGGGAATCAACCTTTGCAGTTGTGGATATGGCTATGTGCATTGTATTACCTGCCAGGCATGGACAGAGACTTAACATCACCCAGCTGGTTTGCTCATCATATTCAAGGACTATGCATGATTTTTAAAAGGAGGCAAGATACTTAGAAGAAATCATTTTGAAATGTCCCGTAAGCTGTAATAAACCTTTCTACCAGTGAGTGGGAAACTTAGTTTCTTATTATGTTCATAATCTTCTGATTAGACTCCTTCTTTTGTTGGTCAAATTTTCTTTCCAGTTTATAGGAACCAGCCTTGGATCTGTCTGGAAAAATTAAGTTGTTGCTGTATCAGTAGGACCATGCTTTTTGTTTTCTGTTCCCTTCCACCTCTACCATGCTGTTAAAAAAAAAGTGGAAAAACTGAGTGTACATACATTTTTCAGTGATGGTTTTGTTTGTCTTCTGACAATCAGATCCTTGGCCTGGTGGGACAGTGAGGAGTATTACCTAGCAAGAATTATTTTGGTAGGGTGAGATGGCAATGTGGTGCATCTCCATAGAGGAGGAGGAGGAAGAGAATGTGGGTATGAGCTTAATAGGACCTGACTTGGCTAGGGGTTGAAAAGAGCCTGAGGCAGCAATGAAGATCGATTTTCAGGGATTAAAACATAATTTCTGAGTATTTGGGGTGATGGTATTGTAAGATAGCCAAATCCTAAACAAATCTTTCACTAACACTTCTTTCTTCTGTGACTACATAGCATCTCTAACGTCTGAATTCACATTTCTATCTGTTCCTAGTCATCATTTATCATAGACGATGACATTGAGGCAAGCCTTGGATATGACCTGGAATGAAGGGAGAATTGAATAATACAAGTTGTGTGGCTCACTATTTGGAAGAAGTCTTGTGCTTTGAAAAAAATGTATTCTGTGTCCACAAGACAGACTTTTTCTGTAAACCTGACTGGTCCATGTTAAGGAATGCATTTGTACCCCTGGTGTCAGTCACTGTGATCTAACCATTTGAGCTAATTAGACTAGTCACATGTTGTTAAATATTCATCCAGAAAATCTCCACAAAAATGGAATTTTAAAGTCAATCAATGCCCTTTTTTCTGTCTTGGAAGATTAGATCAAGGAGCATGAACAGAAATAGAGCTCCAGCAAAATCATAGGTTAAAAGGAATATTCTAGGGTCTTCTTTGCCACAGAGTCAGCTTCCCATAAAAGGTCTCTCTCCTGTTTTCCCATATTCCAAGGCAAAATGTGCTCTAGATCTATACTTCCGGGGTTCAAATACCACGTCTGCCACTCTCTTGCTGTGTGACCTTGTGCAAGTTATTTAATCTGCCTGTGCTTCAATTTTTATTTCTGGGGAATTATAGTAATACCTATCATATAGGTATTGTTAGGGGTCTTGAACGAGTCAATATTGTTGGTGTCAACCTACTACTCTTGTGTCCATGTTGTTATATGCAATGATCAATTCATAGTTTTCTTTTTATTTGCCTCATTAGCACTATTCAAGACAGTTATCATTCTTCTTTCTTGAAACACTCTTCTCTTGGCTTGCAGGATGCCCTGCTGTCCTGGTTTTTCTCCTCTTTCAATGTTCCTTCTCAATTTCTCCTCATCTCTCCAATCTGTCAATGTTGGAGTGCCCTAGAGCTTAGTCCTTAGTCTTTTCTCTTTTGTTTTATACTCCTTGTTGATGTCCTCCAGGTTCATGACTTTAAATATCATCTATATGGCTGCTACTTCCAAACTGATAACTCCACCTTGGATCTCTCCCCTTAACTAACTGCTTGACATCTCCAGTTGGCCATCTGGTAGGCATCTCAGATTTAACACAATCAAAGCTAAAGCCCCATTTGCACCCTCCTGCCCCCAAAAGCTGCCTCTTTTACAGTCTTCTATCTCAATGAATGGCAAGGCTGTCCATTCAGTTGCTCAGGCCAGAAACCTTGGAGTCATCCTTGATTTCCCTCTCTCATTCTCACTCTTTGTGTCAATTCTATCAGCAATGGTCTTGCAGTGAAATTTGCCAGCACTGTCCCTCCCATCTAGAAGTCTCTATCTTCATTCTTTGCTTTACATTTCTTCATAGCACTTATCACCATCTGGAAATCTTTGTTTTATTTGTTTGCTTATTTATTGTGTTTCCCCCTACAAAATGTAAATGTCTAGAGAGCAGGGGTTTTTGTGTCTTTTGCTTACTGTTGAATCCTAGCATCTAGAACAGTGCCTATAACATCTTAGACCTCAATAAATATTTGTTGAATGAATGAACGAAGTGC